>NW_018654714.1:300000-589656 GCF_000001405.40 Homo sapiens | reverse complement strand
ACAGTCTCCGGTGTGTGATGTTCCCCTTCCTGTGTCCATGTGTTCTCATTGTTTAATTCCCACGTATGAGTGAGAACATGCGGTGTTTGGTTTTTTGTCCTTGCGATAGTTTGCTGAGAATGATGGTTTCCAGCTTCATCCATGTCTCTACAAAGGACATGAACTCATCATTTTTTATGGCTGCATAGTATTCCATGGTGTATATGTGCCACATTTTCTTAATCCAGTCTATCATTGTTGGACATTTGGGTTGGTTCCAAGTCTTTGCTATTGTGAATAATGCCGCAATAAACATACGTGTGCATGTGTCTTTATAGCAGCATTACTGGGTATACACCCAAAGGATTATAAATCTCTTGTTTTTTTGAAAACCACTCAATTATCAATCTTTGCCTCTAACTGCTAAGCATTTGGTTGACACCGTAGATAATGAAGAAATGTTTCTGAAAGCATGGCTCATGCGCTACCAGCATAAAAAGAGTACTATACCTTTTATGAGGCATCAAAATGTACCTTGCAAATGCTAAAGCTCAGCATAAATGTAAAGTGCTACTTAAGAAACTTTTAGGCATGCAAAGAATCTTAAAGACGATTTTATCCACAGATGTCATTTTAAAGGTAACTCTGAAGCTAGAGAAGATATGACTTCATTAAGACTAAGGGCAGATTTAAGATGAGAACCCAGGCATCTTGAAGCTAGTGTATTCAAAACGGAATGCATAATTTTCTTTTCCTTGTCTTACCTATCATGATAAGTTGCATCACTGCCACCTGCAAGTTACTCAAATGAAAAACTGAGTCATTCTTGATTCATCTTACTCTCCAAAGTTGAAGTCTGTTCACCTGCTCTTTAATGCCACCACCACAATCTACAGTCTCCTGGGGTGCATGGATAAAAAAAAGAGAGAGTGTTGACCTTCATATTTATAATTTATATATTTCACACTATTTCCAAATTGAATGATGTAAGCAGATACAGATTCACTATACAAAATAAAATTTTATTGTATAACCTTAGATTTGGTTCCCGTTCTGGACCGCACAGCCTGTAGTGTACTATACATAATGTTTTATTATTTACATAATTATCTTATAAGTAACAGAAATAAATGGAACCTTTGTCTTAAAATCATTATTGGTTAAATGAGAACACTTGATCTGTGCCTTTCTTAACCTCTGTGAGGTTTCATTCTGGGCAAACTTGACAAAATCCACTAAACTAATAAAAGTATCCTATTAGTATTTTAAAATGCAAAGTATAGTATATCTGGTAAAATATATATTAGTATATAGTATATGTAGTATAGTATATACTAGTATATAGTATATGTAGTACAGTATATACTAGTATATAGTATATGTAGTACAGTATATACTAGTATATAGTATATGTAGTACAGTATATACTAGTATATAGTATATTATCTCTCCTGCTTAGAAATCTTCAGTGCCCTCTCTTTGAGCAATGTACAATCCAAATTCCCTTTGAATGCTTTAAAAGCACTAAATGATCTGGCCCTCCCTGCTTCTTAAATCATAACTCCGGTTGTTCTCATCTTTGATCAGTGTGTCATTGCCACACCGAACCTAGAACAAATTCTAGGTCACGTTAACCTATTTCCAGCATCAGTGTTTTTACATATGCTGGTCCCTGTGTCAAGAGTTATCACTTTAATTAGCTCTTATCCCTTCCTCCCCCAACCACATTGCTATTATCTAGCAGAGCGGCACATACAGTAAACTAGAATTTGTGTGTCTTTTCATTATTTGCTTCTTTGCCTCTTCTACTAGAAGCGAAGTTCATTATGGGCAAGGACTATGTCTGCTTGTCCATTATACTGAAGTCCCACTAGCTTGTCACAGTAGTTAGATGCTCAATTGACTTGCTGAATAAATAAGTGAAAAAATAAATGATGCTTAGTTTTATTTCATAGTGACTAATTGAAAAACATCAAGATCATTATATGTTAGTCACTTTCTTTACGTTTTTCATGAAATATGCACTTTTATTTAAAAATCTTGTTTTTATGGCCTTAGAAAAGCAGACTGTACTCATATCTTTTTGCTCATGAATTGCCACTGCTATTAAAATGACTTGCAAGAAACTCAGTTGCAGAGCTTCTTCCTCTGCCTACGTTCTATCCTGTTTCTTTCTCCTGATCTCCCTTTGACTTCTTTCTTCTCCATCATTTTCTCCCATCTCCCTTGTCGTTTTCTTTGCATGCTTGCCTTCTCACCTCCCTCTCTTACTTTTATCTTTAACCTTTCCTCATTGTCACTTTTCTTCCATATATTCTCTCGGGTCCTGTCTCCACAGCAGGGTATCTTCTCTCTTCTGAATGTAAATTGTTTCCAGATTTAATTGAGATCATAATTTAATGAAGAATCTCAAACAAGGGATTTGAGGTAATGAGATAACAAATAGCAAAAATAAATGAATGACCCCCACCCAGAATATCAACAACAAAAACTTATCAGCAGCCTCAGATCCCAAAGCTCCGGTGTTAACTAATGTTGTGTACACATGTCCTCTACCTCCCCAGTCTACCTATCCCTAGGAAGGCACAAATGTGAGACCATGCGTAGGCTACCTTAGGCAGAAATCCCACTGACTCAGTGATTCCTTCTCTCACAGGTAGCCTGATTCTTCATTTCAAGAAAAATATAATTTTAATTTGTCCTTCCCTCTTTCTTGACAAATAGCTTATAGATTAATCTTTAATAACATAATTAACCAATAGATCTTTTGCAAAAGTCTAATGCTGAATTCCTCACATTTATACCAACATTCCACATTAAATGTTGGCTGGGCATAAGCCATGTACCCGTATCCAGGAGGGCTCATTTGTGACCCAGTGTTATTGTGGGATAGCAGCCACCACTCCCAAGGCTTTTTAATTTTTAAGTTGTTTCATGTTTTCAAGTCTGGACACATTATTGTCACGGAAAGTAGCAATATAAATGTCTTTTCTGTTCTTAAAAACAACCTGCATAACTGTATAAAAATCTGAAATGCCTGTATATTAATCAAAGATTATTGATTTATCATTGATCAAGAGAGTAAGAGGAGTTTCATATTTTAATAATTAGAATGGGCATAAGTCAAAGAGAATTCAAGAGTGCCTGGAAACTGGAGTTCAAAGCAAGTTTTTTCTTCAGTTTTCTAGATTGATATCTGGTTGCAAATCATAAGATTTAATGATTACTGATATGGAAAGGACCCACGTACAGAATGTTCAATATCCCCAAGGGCTCCAGGCCATAAGATATCTCCTCTTCGTCACTCAGAGGAGTTTAGAGGTTTGAGATTTGGTGTATCTTGCTCAGTTCTCAGTATTTGAACAACTACAGAGGAGTTGGAATTATCCATTACAGTGAATTACTTATCAGTCAGCCTCCCTTTGAATTCACTTGAAATAAATAAAAATTATCTAACTTAAATTTGTATATTCTTCTTAGATGTATTCTTTACATGTTTAGTTGTTAACTGTATCTGAAAGGCTTGAATTGAGTACACATTTATCTCTAGAAAAACAACACCCACCTTCTAAGCTTTACTAGTAACCATAATTGAAACATTGGTTCTATTATTGATATGTGGCAGGAACCTTGTATATATACTCTCATGCAGCATACCCAAAATGAAATGACTTTATATGAATAAGAAAATTAAAAATCCAAGAGCTTAAGTAACCTTAAATGCACATCAAATTCCATGCTCTTAACCACTGCCCTATTCCATGTCTATTATGTTGCCTTTGGGAAGCGTTAGGAGGCACATTAGTGTCACATGGAAAGATGGTCTTGCTGTCTGATTGAGTTTCACGGGCCTTAGTGCTTCTCATGCAGAACAACTTTTAAAATGCTTTTGTCTTTCTTTTATTTTAAAATACCACCTGTGCTCATCATGGAAGAAAATGAAATTCACCCATCAGGCCACACCTCAAAGGTAGATTTGTTGACATTTGGTGGTTTCTTTTTCCCAATTTTCATATATTTTTAGCTTAATAGACCTCACATTATACATAAAATTTCTGATGCTGTTTGCCACTTACCATGATAATCTAGGCAATCTATCAATCAATATAATTTTAACTGATGATTCTCTATGTGGCTTTGGACAAGATAACTAACATCTCCAAATTGTTTTTCCATCTGTAAATTGGGTATAAAGTAATATTGCAGAGTTCTCATTAGAGCTAAGTTGAAAAATAAAGAGGTAGTTATTATAATATTATAAAGTTATTCTTTAAAAAGATTGATTCAATTAATTTTTCCATTTTTAACTAATTTTTTTAAAATTTTATTTTATTTTATTTTATGTTCTGGGATACATGTGCAGAATGTGCAGTTTTGTTATATAGGTAAATATATGCCATGATGGTTTGCTGCAACTATCAACCCATCACCTAGGTATTAAGCCCTGCAGGCATGAGCTATTTATCCTGATGCACTCCCTCCCAACTAATTTTTTTTTTTTTTTTTTTTTGAGACGGAGTCTCGCTCTGTCGCCCAGGCCGGACTGCGGACTGCAGTGGCGCAATCTCGGCTCACTGCAAGCTCCGCTTCCCGGGTTCACGTCATTCTCCTGCCTCAGCCTCCCGAGTAGCTGGGACTACAGGCGCCCGCCACCGCGCCCGGCTAATTTTTTGTATTTTTAGTAGAGACGGGGTTTCACCTTGTTAGCCAGGATGGTCTCGATCTCCTGACCTCATGATCCACCCGCCTCGGCCTCCCAACCAATTTTTTAAACAACTCCCTGCTTTCATGTTTCTCTCAGTGTGCCTGCATATAATTTCTAAACTGTCTTCAACAATTTGATAGTCTAAAACTACAACTTTCTAATTTGGATATGTCTGATTACTAGGAAATTTGAATGTAACATTATTGTATTATTGGGCATTTGCATTTCCTATCCAGAGTGCCTGGCTCAGGACCTGGCCAATGGAAAGCACTCAATAAATGCTTGCTGAATGAATGAAAAAAGTAGTTAATATCAGCAAACCGTGCATATAACAATATTTGTTATTAATTTACATGCACTTTTTATTCATTAGAGTTATGGATTCTGTGTTTTTGTTTGCTACAAATATGTTTCCATTTAATGTTTGGGTTTTTATATGGAGAAACTGTAATTCTTTTAGATTTTTCATTGATTTTAAATTTTACAAATTCATCCAGTGGATTATATGATTATTAATTCCTTTGTTTTCAAATAGAAATAGGTTAAGATATCTAATTGGAATTAGAATTAGAGAAATGAGTTTATGTTTAGGTAGAAAATTCAAGCATGATATAAGTCATTGGCATTGAAAGAATTTTGAAAACTTCCAAACTCCCTTGCATTATTTTAAGTTGACATCTAAAAAATTTACTATAAGTTTAATAGTTTCAAAGGATGACTTTGTTTTAAGAATAAAATTTCTTCTCTTTGTCATAATATTATGTAATTTTTACAAATAATTTATTTTAAAATAATTTTACAAAAAGTTGCAAATATACTACTGACAGCTACTGTATCTCCCTAATTCAGATTCCTGTATTTCCTTCTTTTGTCTGATTGCTCTAGCTAGGACCTTCAGTATTACGTCAAATAACAGTGGTGAAAGAGGGCATCCTTGTCGTGTTCCACATTTTAATGGAAGGGCTTTCAGGTTTTCCTCCATTTGTTGTGATACTAGCTGTGGGTCTGTCATAGATGGCTTTCATTATGTTGAGGTATGTTCCTTCTATCACCAGTTTTTTTAGGGTTTTTTTATCATGAAGGGATGTTGAATTTTATCAAATGTATTTTCAGCATCAACTGCAATAATCATATGGTTTTTGTCCTTCATTCTGTTGATATGATGTATTCCACTGATTGATTTTTGTGTGTTGAACCATCCTTGCATCACAGGGATAAATCCCACTGGTCATGATGAATGATCTTTCTAACATATTGTTAATTTATAAAATGAGAAAGAAGAGAATGTACCTGAGTATGAAAGACTGAGAGGCAGGGAGCATCATGGGGCGTACTCTCCTCCCTGGGTCTTCACATTGGTTATTGATTTCTCTGAGTTCAGTCCCAAGCCTCACTGTCTTCTGCTCTAAGATTTTGCAATCTAAGCCTTATCTTCAATTTTTCCATAGAATAACCTCTAGGCTCCTGCTTAGGGCACGTTTTTGCCTAACCGAGTGGTGGTGGTAAAGAGGACAGAGGATTCAGCTGCTGTAATAATAGATTTTCAGCTTACACCCCTGTTTTCACCCTTTTTGTATTCTCGTTCTCAACTATTGCTAGTCTGAAGTTTCCTGAGGACCCTTGAAAGGAATGCACTGTGCTTCTAAGTGGTTTCTCTTTTGCGTGCTTGTTAGCTGGTAGCTTCTTATCTGATAAGTTGGTTACTACTCCCCTTGTGCCTTTCTGTATTGAAAAAGAAATCTGCAGTTTCTCTGGTCTGCTTCTGTCTTCCCTCTAATTTTATATTTTTCTGTGGATTATACCTTTGCTTTTTTGCCATTTTAGTGGTAGCTGGGGAGGAAAAAGAGATAAGCATGTATGATAAATGTTCTCTGCTTTAAGAGACCACTTATAATCACCTAAAATTGTATATTTCTGTTAACTAATTCTTCACTCTAAGAACTTTCTCTCTAAAACCTCTGACCATCTGATCACCCTATATAAATTAAATTGAATTTATCTAAACAAAATTGCCTAACATATCCAGGAAACTTTTTTGACTATTAGTACCTTGCTGGCTTACTTTTTTCCAGGAAGTATTTTATAAGTGTCAGTATTGTTTACCTTTCAATAATGAGCTGAAGCCTCTTTATAAAATTCCATCAGATATATCTTGGCAATACCTCTACTGACTGGACTGTCTATATTAAATCGAATCCACCCTGGCTTCTTTTTTCAATTACCTTAATCTCAATGCTGCTGAGATGTCAGACAGATGGTAAGTGTAAAAACCAATGTGAATGAAAGCTCAAAAGAATTGGTTACTTCAGCAATAAATGTCAGTCTATTTCATAAATTGGCCTTATAGACCTAAACTTATTTCTCCAAAGTAGCTTAAATTAAATGTTTTTCATCACAAATTGAGTAATTCGTTCAATTGAATGTCCAAACTGGCCTGTATGTGGATAAGCACATTTCCTGGGAGTGAGGGATCATTTGGCACATCCATCAGGTTAATTAAAGACCAGAGGTAGCCTGAGTCTGGGGTTGGGGTTAGTAAGAGTATAGATATGCTTTTCATATCTATATTGAGGATTTGATCTATAGCACACCTCCTCTAGTTGCTAGTCAACAAGACAGAGCTGAGAGGCCCAAAGTCTAGACTCAAATATAAAACTAATGAGAAAGGCCTGATCTATAAGAGACATATTAAGGCCTTCTGGAGTACTCTCCATCACTTCCTCCCTCCCTCAGTGGCTGTGAATGAATCTAGAGAGATTCTAAGTTGAAAGGAATGTGCACTTCTGAGCCTTCCCAGGGAAATCATCTTCTGGATCTCAGAAGTTTCCATGCCTTGCTCCCCGGGAGCTCCTGCTGTCTCAGTGTAGGAAGAACCAATGGCCCAGGAGCCATGTGGAGAATTCATTAAAAAGACACAGCTGGAAAGTTGTCTCAGGCATCTTGGTAAAGATAAAAAAAAAAACTTTATAATTGATCTCATAGGAATAGAAACTATTTTAGGTTTTACAAAGTAAGTGTCAGAAAAAAATATCCTTATGGGGTTCATTAAAACTTTACCACAATTAATTACAGCAGCAGCACTCTTCAGGCAACTGCTCCAGAGACCACAGGCATTTGGCCTTTGGGAACAAGTCCTGGTTACACAGCTGTGGGGCACCAGCATTGGTGTTTAAGTGGAGTGAGGAGACACTCTCCTTGGAGACTGGAGATCCAAACATCTTATCAATAGATTGGGCTTTTTTCTAATTCACACATGTAGACAAAAATAATAGACCAAATATCCTACAATATTCTAGGCACAGTGCTAAGTCCTTTATAGGCAGTTTCACCAATCCTCAAAAAAATGTTTAAAAGTGAATATTTATTACCTCCCTGTTCATAAAATAAGAGACAAGTTCATCGAAGCTAAAGAACTCTTCCAAGGTCATATAAGTGACAGCCCCAGAAATTAAAACTCATTCTAAAGTCTTTTCCACTTTTCTGCTGATGGAGAGTTTAGCATGAAGGTGCATGTGCCATCTCTAGACCTACACATAGACCCTAGTTCCACCATCCAAACAAATGCCTTGAATATTCTTTCCCTGGAAACAGCAAGGAAGACAAAAACAGGGCAACATTAACTGAAGACATAAGAGTAAAGGATATGAGTTAGAACTTCTTCAAGTTAATACGGTTCTGATTTTAACATATGCTGCTAGCTTATATCTTTCCCAGTTGTTTTTAACCCCAAGTCTAACCACCCCCTTGACACACACTCAATTCAGGCACCTTTATTGAAATGCTAGTACAAGAGAATCTTTCTTGATAGATACTAAATTGATGGCAACATATTCAACTCTTTCAATTCTTCTATAAGCTTTAACTAAAGTCTATGGCATGGGAATGCTTGAAGTTAATAAACTACAATGTTTGTCTAGGTCCTCCAAGCAGCAAATGCCAAGATAGACTAGATGTCCAAAAGATTTGTTGTAAAAACATCATGAGGAAAAATGAGCAGGAATCCAGAGAAGTTTGGAAGAGCCATTGAATGCAGCTGTGATTCTTGTGAAAGAGAAATAAAAGGAAGTGAGCAAAGCAAATGAAACACCAAGGGTCATAGCAGGAAAACAATGACACAAGTTACGCCATTTGAGAAAAGTTTAATAAAAGGACTATTTACAAAGGTATGAGAGGAATATGGGAAAACCACAAGCAAGGGTGCAAGATACCAGGATAGTGCAGGATTCTGAGCTTGTAATAAAACTCCTATACAACCTCTAGGCCTAAATGAGAAGAGAGGATGGCTGTTATTAGAACCTGGAGACAAGGATGACTATGTAGAAGGGTTGGCTAAATAGGAACTTGAATCAGAGTCAGTTGGTTCAGTCCATATTTACCCTGCAGGAAGTGAATAAATTCTTGACCTCACAGTTCTCCCTCTTTCCTGTTTCTCTTGTCTTTGCTTCCAATAAGCCAGACTTAGGAAGCCAGAGGGCTGCAGAGCCGTAGTTTTTACAGATCAGTCTTACAGGGCAGAGAGCAAGGTAAAGATGGAGGGTGGATATGGAGAAAAGAATGCCAACTAATAAATGTAAAAAGAATTGAAAGAATTATGAAATGACTACCTTGGAGCCAACTTAATAATTTATTCAAGCAAACAGTGGATGCTAAAATAATTGACTGAAAATATCTTAGGAGATAGGATTTTTACCGGAAACAGATCCCAATCCAGACCACAAGAGAGGGTTTTTGGATCTCATGCAAGAAAGAATTCAGGAAAAGTCCATAAAATGAAAGCAAGTTTATTAGGACAGTAAAGGAATAAAGAATGGCTACTCCTTAGACAAAGCTGCCCCGAGGGCTGCTGGTTGCCCATTTTTGTGTTTCTTTCTTAATTATATTCTAAACAAGGGGTGGATCATTCATGCCTCCCCTTTTTAGACCAAATAGGGTAACTTCCTGACGTTGCTATGGCTTTTGTAAACTGTCATGGTGCTGGTGGGAGTGTAGTAGTGAGGATGACCAGAGGTGGTAGCCATCTTGGTTTTGGTGGGTTTTAGCTTGTTAATTTACTGCAACCTGTTTTATAAGCAAGGTCTTTATGACCTGTATCTTATGCTGACCTTCTGTCTTATCCTGTGACTAAGAATGCCTTCACCTCCTGGGAATGCAGCCCAGTAGGTCTCAGCCTTATTTTACACAGCCCCTATTCAAGATAGAGTTTCTCTGGTTTAAACACCTCTGACAGGATCTTCAGGTAGTCTCCCAGATTCATGCTGTAGAGTACTTATGAATTCCCAAAGGAGAAGATACCCTTACAATGAAGAAATGGTGGAAAACACTTAAACAAATCACCAAATAGCATTATCAATAATGGGGCACACTGACATCATATGTCTCCTGATGTGATGCACTGAGAAGCATACAACATGTCTATGTAGAATTACTTCCAAAAAAGCTTTATCTGAATCTGGATATGAGGATTCCAAATTTCAGGACCTTCTACAAAACAAGTAGACTGCACTCTTCAAAGAATCCCAATGACATGAAAGACAAAGAGTAAGAGAATGGTTTGAGATAAAATTAGACTAAACAGGTAAGAAACTAAATGCTCTGAAACAATCTTTGATTAGATCCTGAATTGAATAACAAGATAGAAACCCAAAGAGGCATTTTTAGATAGTGTTATCATATTAATGTTAAACTCATGAGTGTGATAATGATATTGTATTTAATATTTGTTCTTAGAAAATACTTGCTAAATTATTCCGTGGTATATAGGGGTGTGTGTGTGTGCATGTACGTGTACATATATTCTATTAAGATTTACTCACAATGTCTAAAACGTACTTTTAAGTGATTCAGCATATATATAATATATATATCCACTGATGTATTTATATCTTATATCTACATCTATATCTGTATCAAGAGGAAGCAATATAAATGGATAATAAATATATAGAAAATGTCAAAATATTAACAATTAAGAATTAGTTAATGTAGAAGGAGATATGGGTGTTCATTATATTATTCTATTAAAATTCTATATATTTAAAAATTTCACAATAGAAAGGAAAAAAAATTGAATTAATCTACTCATAATAAAACTTCCATCAAACTAGGAATAAGCAGCAACCCCTTCACATGGTGAAAGTGAAAGACTTAATAATTTCCCATTAAGAATGACCTTTGGGGCTTGCTAGCAATCCTTGTTAAGCCCACAGCAGTCTTTAATCTGGGGTTATTCTTATTACCACCATTGAATCCAACTATTGATGCCATTGTTTATTGCCACTTTCCAGGACTCTATTCAATGGCCATATGTTAAGAGGTGTTTCACTCTAGCTGATGGGGACATGAACTCTTCCTGGCCTGGTGTGAGCTCTGAGAATAACTGTTCCCTGTTTGTTTCTGATGGTTTTTCCCCAGCCACATTTGTTTTCTTATAGAGATGGGCTGATCAGTATTCAGCCACAGGTTTGAGGAGAACTCTCTGAAGATATCTGGAGTTCTCTCTCTCTCTGTCTCTCTGTCAAAGTTCTCTCTCTCTCTCTCTCTCTCTGTCTGTCTCTCTCTATCTCTAACTCGATCTCTCTGAGATGTCTTTCTCCTCTGGTACCTTGCCATGTTAATACTAATCAGCTTAGCATTTAGGAAGTTGAACTGTTTCTCCTGAACTTCATGAGACCACAGGGTGAGTTCTCTCTACCTCTCTCTACGCAGTAAGCTAAAGCAATTACTGAATTTGGCTTGGAATGTTTCTTGGAAGATCATCCAGGGAGCTGGCTTGGATCAGAAAGTAGAAGAGATGGACTAAATATGGAGCCATGCCGCAAGTGTCATTTGCATGAAAAGGATTATCTTTGTAGAAAAGGCTAAAAGAAGATATTCTTTATTGTTAAAAACAACAACAACAACAACAAAACCTGAAGTTGCACACTCTCCCTGGCTGTGAGAAAGTAAAGCTCAAACACACTGAAAACCCTGGATCATAAGGAAATGTTCTGTTGGTTTTGGCTCTTCCATCATACAAATCCCTGGAAACATGCTTGTCTGGGGAATAAAGTCATCTGCTTTAAAAATAAAGAAAACCAGAATAATGTAATTCTTGTTATTTACAGGGATTATGTTCTATACAATCACCTCAGCTATTGCTCTGAGGGGAATTAACAAAACCTCAGCTATTGCTCCTAGGGGAAATAAATACAGGGTTACAGTCCTGCAAACCTTTCACAGCAGCATTTCATCAACTTAAATACAATTTGCATTCACATTATATGAGTTCCTTTGCCAATATCCTTGTAAAACAAGCTGGTTTCATCAGTGTTGAAAAACAACTCGTCCATGTAATCCTTTTTCTGTATAACACTTAGCCTTTATTTTAAAAATTCTTCTCCAGCTTTCTTACCTGCAGAACCTATCTTTCCTGCAAGTTTAACATTTTCCATGCTGCATTTCCTTTGGTAACATGTGACCCAGCCAGCACTAGCTGAGAAGGGTTTAAGATTTTCTTGATCTTAGATAATATGATCATAAATTTCTTTGGCTTTCAACCTCACAATAGTGCTGCCCACTGTGGTTTTGCTGTTGTGACTGTTATTTGTTTTCTTTTTATTAGCTGTTATTTTATGCATGCACACATTTAGTCACTCATCTCTGCCATAGCTTCATAGCACACTATAGTTGCTACTTTAGCACTTTCTTGAGTAGTCTCACATACAGATTGGTAAATTTTCTCTTTTTTTTTTTTCTGGAAGTACTGTATTTTTCACTTGTTAACATTAAATCGGTACCAAAGGTTATCTAACACATTTATTTTCTCTGTAAAGTCACATTACAGCTTTCTTGTGCTTAGGAACACTGTATAACACTTCAATATTACACTTGAGGGCCATTTTAAACAGTAAAATTATCAACAAAAAGCACAAGAACATGGAAAATGTGGCACCGGGGTAGCCTGCAGAAAGAACGCTAGTTTACAGTTTGAGAGCTGAACCAAGAAGACAGAGCGTTGTCCTGTTTGATCTCAGCCAGAAACATGCACATCTGGAGACTCAAATGTTTGCCACACTGGACACGCCCTTGAATAACCACAAAAGTAGCCTGAGTATTGATTTGGGGCTACAAACACATTTTAGCAAGTAGGCATATTTACAAATACGGAATCTGTAAATAAAGAGAATATCTGCATCTACAAATTATTCTACAAGGAAAAAGCTGGAAAACTTAATGGCTGATTAAAAAAAATCACAAGAGAATTTTGTTTTACAATACAGATGAATGTGGTAGGCAAACACTTCTGAAAGGAAGCCCTTTTCTTTACAAAATAAGAAGAGCTTTCAGAGACTCAAGACTTTGCAGAGACTCAAAAATACTCAAATATCTTGATGTAGTAGAAATAAATACCAACATGGCACGTGTATACATATGTAACTAATCTTCACGTTGTGCACATGTACCCTAAAACTTAAAGTATAATAAAAAAGAAATAAAGTATGATCACACAAATTTTAAAGTAGAAATGAAATTTTGTACAAAAATACTTCAGAAATAAAGTTGAAATTGGAACAGGTATAAGGAGAATAGAGACATTGCTGGAAACACACAAAGGAATATTGAGCATATAAATAATAAAAGCAAGTATACCCAAATTGAAATAGAGAATGAAAATGAATTAGCAATGCTTTTGGAGAAAGATCTTGATCAGAATGGGGAAATGTGAAAGCTGCCGATACCAGGATGAAGTAACCAGTCAAACACACACAAATTGGGGTCAGGAGGGCATGAAGGAAAGGAACTCATGCTTACTTGTCTGAGATACACACACACACACACACACACACACACACACACACACAGTCTAAAGGACTTTAAAAAATAACCCCACGAGAAATTCTTGCATGTTTCTCATATATACACATACTTTTATGATAAGGTTTATCACTAAACATTCTTTAGGATTGCAGCAATTCCGATAAGATGTTCCCTTAACACTTGCCGAGTAATAGCATCTCCACCAATGAACCAATATCTCTGGCTTTGAGCCAATGAATCCAATGAACTCTATTTCTGAGCAGTTTACGTAAACTTCAACCATTGGCAATAAAAGTTTTCCTTTACTCTTCCCTCACTGTATTTGCCATAGTACATCCCAGATTATAATTCTCTTTATTTACTCCCAAATACATTTGTTTTGTTGGGAGATAATCTTCTCTGGTGTCTTTTTTTCTTAAATTGACACATGAAAAATGTGGAAGATAGGTGTAAGAGTGCTGATATGTTCATTTTCTAGAAAATTTAAGTCATAAAGTAAAAGTAGTTTAAGTTATAATTCAAGAATATTCTTCTGAAGTAAAAATTAGACATGAATCTAGATATTGAAAAGGCAAACTATGTCCTTGGGAAATTGACACAGAATGGAAGTATAATGATACATCCTAGTAATGTTACTAAATTTAAAATATAAAGAGAGAATCATGTGGTTAGCTAGGCAAAAGTAAAGCTACTTATAGAGTCAGTCTAGATTTGTACATTTTCATAGCAATATCCAATAGCATAGCTAAAGTTTGTGAAGGAACATTTACAAAAATCCTCCAGGAAAGAAAGTATCACACAAGTTTTTTACCCAGCCAAATGTTTGTACAAATGAAAAGACACAAATAGTATAGAACATAACAGAAACCAAAGAATGTCAGTCCCAGAAAATCAGTGACAGAAGTGGCAGTGAGCATTGAATCTTTTTATTTGTAGGACTGTGATGAAAGTAAATATGAGGACTTAGCTGGCAGGGCAGAATGCAAATGCCAAAAACATGACTTGAAAATATAGAAATAAGTACAAATGACAAAAAATGGAAGAAAAGAAGATAGGAGATTGTGTAATGCTGACTTCCTCATCTTTAATGTCTGAGAGCAAAAGTATTTCACTTAAATCTGGCAAATCAAGTAAAACAGATATAAGTACATTTAATTGATAAGAATAAATACTAAGAATGGTAATATGCTCAACTAAAATCAGATGAGAGAGGAGAGACAGGAAGGCAGGATAAAGAGTATATAGACAAATTCCATTATTGTCCATAACAGGTAATTACATTCATGTGGGAAGTAATTAATTCAATGTAAAGAAACAGAAGCTTAAGGATATTGCACAAAATTAGAGATCTAAAACATAACCTCCAGAATGAAACTTAAATCTTAAGTTAGAATGATCTTAAATCTTCAATGTTAGAATGACACAAAAAATAAAACATACAACACATGTTTTTTAAAGCTACAAATCCACCAAGCTTAACATAAAATCCAATGCTCTATCCTAAAATAAACATTTCAGTTATAAATAGACAAACTCACTTATTAAAGTAACTTAGAGTTTCGATATAAATAACAAAGTTCAATTTTACTCTGTTCACAAGAAACAGAGTTAAAGCAAAGAGATTTATAATATTTAAAAAGAAAAGCATGAGTAGTGGCATACTTTTTCTTTTTTTCTGTTTCTGTTTTTGGAAGTACTACATTGTTGACTTGTTAACATTGAACTCATGGTGTGCCAAAGGTTATTTAACACCTATATTTTCTCTGTAAAAGCACATCACAGCTTTCTTGTACTTAGGGACACTATGCAATACTTTAGTATTACACTTTTAAACAGTAAAATTATGAATTGTAATCTTAATATCAGAGTAAAGCAAGAATTGTAATCTTAATATCAGACAAAAAAGTTAATGTCATATAAGAGCATGTAATAAGACCAAATAATATAATTAACACAGCAGATATTATAGTTATAACTACATAAACTTCAAATGAAATAAAGTCAACCTTTATAAAGCAAAATCTAGAAGTGACTCAAGAGGTAATAGGAACATAGAACTAGCAGGAGTGAGGAATTCAACTGTTTTCACTCTGTATCAGATTATGGGAAAAAACACATAGAGGTCTAAATAGCATAATTAACAAAATAGATATAATTAATACTTCACAGTCTCTGAAACCTGAAAACAGACAATGAACCTTCTTCTTCTTTTCTTTTTTTTTTTTTTTTTTTTTTTTTTTTTTGAGACGAAGTTTTGTTCTTGTTGCCCAGGCTGGAGAACAATGGCGTGATCTCGGCTCACTGCAACCTCTGCCTCCCAGGTTCAAGCAATTCTCCTGCTTCAGCCTCCTGAATAGCTGGGATTACAGGCTCCTGCCACCACGCCAGGCTAATTTTTGTATATTTAGTAGAGACGGGGTTTCACCATGTTGACCAGCCTGGTCTTGAACTTCTGACCCCGGATAATCCACCCACCTCGGTCTCCCAAAGTGCTAGGATTATAGGCGTGAGCCACCGCGCCCGGCCGAACCTTCTTTTTAAATGCCAGTAGAAAACTCATAAGGAAAGGGAAAGAAAGAAAGGAAAGAAAAGAAAGAAAGAAGGAAGGAAGGAAGGAAGGGCCACATATCAAGCCTAAAATAAACCTAATTTCCAAAAGTAAAATGAATGCCTGCATTATTTTCTAAACACAATTCAAAAAAATCAAATTACTAATAAAATAAGAAAATTAAATTTCCAAAATTTAACAAAACATGTAAATACTATCTGAAAAAAGCTTAGTAACAGTGCTTACTAAAGCAACAAACTTGACCATGTTCTTGAATAAGACTGAACATTATAAATATGCCAATTTCCCCTAAGCAATTTAATAATTATAATGCAAACCCAGTGAAAGTTGCAACTGGATTTGTTTTAACTGTAGACAGGATGATGCTGAAATCACATGGAAAAGAAAAAAGAATGAACAGCAGGACACTTCTATAAGAGAAGAGTTATGAGGAATCCTGGTCTTTTGTATTTTCAAACATTATAAAATCAGAGTGATTTGAAGACTGTTACTGGTGCATGGTTAGAGAGACACATCAATGGATCAGAATAAAAAGATTTTAAGTAAAGCACATATTTTCAATATATGTTGAATTATAAAGCACATAATTTTCAATATATGTTGAAATTTTGTTTATGATGATTATGACATCACAAATCAGTAAGGCAAAGTTTGATTACTCAATAAACATACCGAAACCACTAAAAGTGCTAGAAAAATAATAATGTTGGATTTATGGCTTTCCCTTTACGCTGTGTCTCCCAGGAGTCAAGATCCATTCCCAAGACACGGGCAAGCAAGAAAAACTCCTTCACTATATACTCCTGAGAATGTTAAACCATGTCAATGTATAACTTTTAAAGAAAAATTAAATGCAAAAAGCTTCTTTGTTTATTCAGTTTTGAAAAATGTATTTTTCTGATTATACAAAAAATATGTTATAAAAATGTGAGGAATGCAGAACATATCAAAAATAACTGAGACAGAGTAAAGCACAATCCCAATAATGCCAAAAAGCAATAAATGGCAGTTATTACTACACTTCTTTTTATGTTTCTATTTCATTTATTCATTTTATTCCACACTTAAGTCACATGTAATACTTAATAAAGTTGAATGATTTAGTCAGAATCCTTTTTCAGCTGGACTTCATGCCACAATTTCATTCTAACTTTTCACCTACGTCTTTGACCTTAGTGTCTTTGTCATCAGAGCTACTTTGTGAATCATCCAACACAATTTTCCAAAGCACATCATTTTCACTTCCCTTTAAGTTATTTGAAATATAACACCTTTTGAATCAATGTGTGTTCCTTTAGTGGAAATCTTATTTCAAGCCAGAAGTACTCTTTCATAAACCATTAAGATATTTGCCTTTTAAAAAATTATTGATATGTAGTCATAATTTGAAACTGTAACCACTGCTACTTTAAGAACTTGAATTACCAATTCCAAGCTTTGTGCCTTTGAATTACAAAGTCCTTCATTACACTGACCCAATTTAGTGATTAGAGTTTGTGATTTATTCTTTATCTTCTCATATCAAATTGATTTACTCATACCTATTTCACTTAAATTAGTTAATGCCCTTTTACTTTCTCATCTTACTCTTTTGCTTTTTGTTCCTTGAATATCTCCTTTTCTCTCCTTTCCATTGCATTAAATATTCCTTCCTTGCTTCTCTAGCTATCCAAATCCTACACAGCTTTCAAGATTTAACACAAATTACGCTTCTTCTAAAACTGCATTTTTACTCACGGCACGTTTAGCATGTTTTTCTTACTCTTCTGAGTTCTTATAGAAATTTGTGTTCATTTTATTAGTAGTTTTTTACTCATATTGAATAATTCAAATATTTTATCATCACATTTTACTTACTAATATCTTATATCTCCATGTTGGTGGTAAACACAATTCTTTGCATTTCACCTAACAGTTTATTTCACATAATAGGTGCTCAGCCTTACCTAAATCTTGAGAAAGTCCTTGAAGTTTCTAAATCTCAGTTTATTCCTTTGAATAATAGAGAATATTGGACCAGGTGAATGTTCAAGGCCTGTCTCAATACTAACTCTCCAATGCCGATTTAATTCTTGAACACTATTCACATTTCCCACTAGATGGTACTAACACCAAACAAACACTACTTGAGAAAATTGATAGTATTTTTCCCCAGAAGGTCACTGCACTATTTTATTTGTCCTGGACTAATTATTTATCGTGTACATAAGACAAAATACACGTTTTTTTCTGATACTATACAACAGTCTACTGTTGGTATAGCTGAACATAAACTAATAGCTACAGCATGAGATGCATTATTATGTTTCAAGAAAAACGATAATATTTTTGAGTGGCAGAGATGAATAATCAGGATGGGTAGCCTGTTATGTACAACAGTTCTAATTGGAAAAATACATTAGAGACATATACATTCAACCGTGGTACCATCAAACCAATCAAGGAACCAAACATATCTTATTACTTCTAAAAATGTACTTGTATTCTTTTGAGTGTGTGTTTTTTTGTAAGACCACTTAACATGAGATCTGTCCTTTTAACATATTTTAAAGTGCACAATATTGTATTGTATATAGCAGATCTCTATGTCATATTCATCTTGCATAAGTGAAACTTTATGCCCATGTGTTAGGGTTCTCCAAAGAGACAGAACCAATAGGATATGTGTGAGGATAGATAGATAGATGATAGATAGATAGATAGATAGATAGATAGATAGATAGATAGATAGATAGATGATAGATAGATAGATAGATAATTTGAGAGGGGATTTGTTAGGAGAATTGGCTCACACAATTATGGAGGCTGAGGAGTATGGTAACAAGCCATCAAGCTGCAGACTTGCTGGGATGCCAGCACTGTGGCTCAGTCTAAGTCCAAAAACCTCAGAATCAGGGAAGCAGAATGTTTAATCTTTAGTTCAAGTCTGAAGGCCTGAGAACCTGGGGGTCCAGGGGGCGCTGGTGTAAGTGCTGCAGTCTCAGGGTCCCAGGCCAGAGCGCATGGAGTTTTGATGTGGAAGGGCAGGGTGCGGAGAGTGTCCCAGCTCTAGGAAAGAGAGAGAGAGGACAATCCTTTTCTCCCTCTTTATTCTATCAAATTGGCCCTTAGCAGATTGCATGGTGCCTACCCACATTAAAGACAGATCTTCCCCACTCAGTCCACTGACTCGCACACTACTGTCCTCTGGAAACATCCTTAGAGACACACCCAGAAACAGTGCTTTACCCGTTCTCTAGATATTCCATAATCCTGCCTAGTCGATACCTAAAATTAAGCATTTAAGCAACAACTCCCTGTTTCCCTCTTCAGCCCGCCCCTAAAAACCACCACCCTCTTCTCTGTTTCTATGACTTTTACTACTTTAGATACCTTGTAAAGGATGGTATAATTGGTGTATGCATATGTCAAAGCTCAATGAAATGTGTACATTAAATTGCACATTTTGTCTTTAGTTGTACATTGTGTACATTTTCTAAATTGTACATTGCAGAAAAACTCTGATTATCTAACATTTTTAGCTTTATTGAGATATAATATGTAAATTTCACATATCAATTATATCACAATAAAGCTAAATAATTATAGAGAACCACAGAGTTTTTCAATTGGGAAGTTGACTATAAATAATTTAATGTGTAGCCTCAAAAAATATTATTTGGAGTAATGTTTATGAAATTAGCCCCAAATGCCTTATTTAACAAATATTTATAGATGGCTTACTCTGTATACACAAAAAAATAGGATAGTTGTTTGAGGATACACAATGATAAATCATGTATGGATGCTGTTAAAGAAAAAGGAAACAAAAAGGCTTAAAACCATAAAAAAACTTAAAAATGAGAACATTCAGGGGTCCGATATGACCTTCAGTTGAAGAAATCATCACTGATATTCATGGAAATTGGGGTATTTTAGATGAATTTCGGGTTATGGGCTCAATTTTGCTTAGTCGCATAAAAAAGCAAATAGTGGAGGATAGTAGAGGACATTGAATGTCAAACTCAGGTCTTTAGATTTCATTCAGTAGGTAACAGGGAAAACACTGAAGACTTCTTCACACATAGACTCATTATCAGACCTGTGTTCTAGAAAGATATGTCTGCTGGTAGTGAGGCTATTTGATGAGAATGATAGGAAAGAAACAGGGCTGCAGGTTGAAGGGATGTGACATCACGTTCACGTGAGATGATGGTGGCCTGAAGGTGGATGATGGACACGGTGATGGAGGACACACAGCATCAAAAAATGTAGGGAAGATAAATTGAAGTGGAGGGCAAGGAAAATGGGAACAAACAATAAACTGGATACCTTGGAGAAAACTAGAGTCTGTTTTGTTTTTGTGAGTGATGAAGGAATCAAAAAATGATGAGTTTTTAACATCTTGAGTTTGAGAAGCTGACACTCTGGCTTCTCTCCCTCAATAAACCCACCTGCTGCTTTTGTGGCATGCTACATGTTTGCTGATGCCTTAAAAAGCCTCTAGATCTGTTG
Source organism: Homo sapiens (assembly GCF_000001405.40). NCBI lineage: Eukaryota > Metazoa > Chordata > Mammalia > Primates > Hominidae > Homo > Homo sapiens. Next base: position 569,113 of record NW_018654714.1, on the reverse strand, counting down.
AGCCCATGTTATGATTGCAGTCTGTCTAAAGCAAACAACTCATAGCTGAGTCTTTGTGGAGTCAGTTAGAAACAGCTTGTGTGACCTTCTGGATGCTTCTCTTAAGGAAATTTTCAAGACATTTAGAATCGTATCAGAAAAATACCTGTACATGGCCCCAGAAAAATGTTTTGTCTTTTTCTCTCTTGTAGGAAGCACAAATCCCCCTTGATTCAGTTCAGCTTAGTTTAACAATGTTACTTGAGCATCAACTATATCCCAGGTGCTATGCTAGGCTCTAGGGACACAGTGATGAATGACACAAGATTCCTGCTTCTTTGAGTTCAGAGAATAGATGATAGGACAGCTGAGTGGCTTGGGTGGGAAGAGGGGTTGCTAGTGAGTAAGGTTCTTGGAGGAGGTGATGCCTAAATAAACTAGAAGAATAAAAAATACGAATAGCTGAAGAGGAAGTGATACTTTAGGCCCAGTGAACAGCCTGAACAAAGACAAGGAGGCCTGAAACAGCAAGTTGTGTTTTGGAAACTACAGGAAGATTGAGAACATCAAGTGCTAGTTGGGAGTATCAGGTGACGGTGCTGAGAGGTACAGGTGATGCTGAGAGGTACAGGCAATGCTGAGAGGTACAGGTGATGATGAGAGGTACAGGCAGTACTGAGAGGTACAGGCGATGATGAGAGGTTCAGGCGATAATGAGAGGTTCAGGCGATGATGAGAGGTACAGGCAATGCTGAGAGGTACAGGCGATGATGAGAGGTACAGGCGATGCTGAGAGGTACAGGTGACGCTGAGAGGTACAGCGATGCTGCGAAGCACAGGACCCTGCCTCTGACTGCAGGTGGTGGAGAGAAACACTGAGGTGTTCTGAAGAGGAGGCCAACAGCATCAGATTAGCATTTTAATCTGCAGGGTGGAGGGGACAGGGAATTATTTTATCTTAAAAACAAGTGATACAGCATTTTTAAACAGGAAAAAAAGTAGAAAATACACTGTAGTGAAGAAGAAGCAAGGTCAGGGTGAAGAGGAAGAGATACAAAAACCCGGCAAGCCATCCACTCCTAGACAAACACCTTTTAAATTTTAGTATATCTAGATTTTAGGATCAAGATCGTTATTGACCATATTGTCTCAGCACACCATGCGGATCTTTCAACGTCTCAGTCAAAGCATGAGTCAAAAGGGGAAACTTCTCAAATGTTAAATATGATTTACACTGAACTATAAGGGCTGCTTTAGCCTGAGCCCTATTGTTACCATGACAACATAACAAAAGGAAAGATTGATGAAGCTGCTCTGATCCAGAAGATCTCTGATAATTTTTAATATCAAGTAAATCATGGCCAGCCTCCTCCTACAAAAGCCATGTTTTACACCAGACATCTTTTTGTTTGTTTGTTTTCTTTTGGAGACAAGATCTCACTTTGTCACCCAGGCTGGAGTGCAGTGCAATTAAATTATATTTAATTCATATTATTAAATATAAATCATTAAATTTATAATATTAAATCTAAATATGTAATTTATATTATTGCTGAGCTAACAATAATATATCATCACTATACGCCACTTTCCATGTCATTAGCTACCTTTTCCAATATAAGAATATGCTACATTTTACTCCATTGAACTATATTTTTTGAAATGCTGTCCCATTCCCTGATTTTTCTGTTATAAACAACATTGCAATGAGCATCCCATTTTTACTTTTACATAACTTCATTTTCTTAGTATAAGTTTCTAATTGGAATTCCTATACTGCAAGTTTTACTTTAACCACATCATTATCAGCCTTATTCATGGGACATGCTACTCTAGTTCTCACTACAAACTTTTACACTCAGTACTTGCTCTGCTCATAAACATTTGCCCAAATACAAATAAAATAATATTTCATTGAGCGCTGACTATATACCAAGCATGGGTCTAAGTACTTTATCTGTATTTAATGGAGTTTTCAAAACAATGCAATGGAATCGGTGTGATTATTAGCTTTGTTTCAATTATGAGGAAACTGAGGCACAGAGAGGGTAAAGTCATCCAAGTTTACACACCAGGAACTAGCTTCAAATCAGAAGTCTAGCCCAGAGACAGGTTTTTGCAGCCACTGCCCTATACTTCCCACAGCTGGCTCCAGCTCATCATTTGGGCTTTGTGTACAATGCTACCTCCTCCTGTCCTTCCCTTGATCATTGTTCCTAAAGCAGTCTATGCTTACCCTGACCTGCCCTGCCCCACTACCCCAAATCTGCTCTCTGACTTTTTCTTTCCCCAAGAGACTGGGTCCTATCATTTACATCTCCCAACTTTTTTTTTGCTGCCTGGTTTCTGGATAGATTCAGCCAACAGAATAAGCATGGGGAGAATTAGAAGGAAATCCTGCTATCTCAGTCTCCCTTTGGAGATAAAAGAACAAAAGGAGACTGAGATAGCAGGATTTCCTTCCAATTCTCCCTGTGCTTTATACTATGTCTCTAGCATAACTGAATCCCTCCAGCTCTTAGAAGAGCTGCCTGTTCTGCCAGCTCTTAGAGATGTTAATGGCTTCCTAATGTTGCTGGTCTCTGGGTGCCTCAGCATCCCTTGTTTGTTCCTGTATCCCAGTTCACATCTCTGTAAGTGGTGCCTTCACTAAAATCTCTTCATTGGAATCATCTGAGATAAACTATGTTTCCTGGCAAGAACCTGACTAATAGAATCAATATATTCTCTTTATTTTCTTCATGCTACTTTTTTATAATCTGAAGTCAACATGTGTATACTGTGTTTCTCTAGCTTCAAGTTTAAAATTCATAAATGGAATTTATGAATTCCATTACTCTGTTTCCTCAGCATGCAATAAATATTTGTCATACTTACTTATCTATGTGTTTATTTATTAAAGGGTCTACATATTAAATTGCCCTCCAGAAAAAAAAAAAAATATATATATATATATATATGTCTGTGTTTCTGTCAAAGAGTGGCCTTAAGTCAAAATATTTTTGTTAGATGCATCCTGAAACAAACAAACAGTCTATAAAATAGACATTGAGTTCCAGGGAGACCAATTCAAAGGTGCCTCTCAAAACACTTACTAATAGCCGCTGATTGAAGGCCATGGCTGGAGCCCAACAATCAGTGTCCTGTATTTTCTCTGATTAAAGTCAACATTTTTCTTTGAAAATTGTTGTTATTTAACAGGCAATCTAGAAATGGAACAAGCAGGCTGGAGGTTAGCACTGGTAAAAAAATTGAATTTTAATTAGAGAACCCACGTTCATCCTCAGGGATTGAATGGCAGTGAATACTAAGGCTTGTCTGGCTGAAGCTTTGGGCAAGAAAAGATCTGAGGAGCAGCAAGACCTCCCGGTAGAAGGGGCTGCATTTTCACCAAGAGGAATTGGAAGATGGGGTGGGCGGGGGAACTGGGGTTTAGCGGAGAGTTTTGATAAGGAGGATGGCTTTGGGAAGAGAAATAAAGACAGAGGGAGAAGACTCAGCACAAGAGTGAGGAAAAGCCATGGAGTCCCCTCCTCGCAAGGGGCCAAGCCCTTGAGGGACTTCCTTTATATGATACACAGCACAGAAAGCCAGCTGGAATGTAACCGCTGACCTTGTGCACTGAGGATCAGTGAGTTAGCCTCTTCACCTGTGGCATCAGAACTGTTTAGTTATGTGAACGAATACAGTCTATTGTTTTAGCCACTTTGAGCTGAATTTTCTGTTACTTATATTGGAAAGGTTCCTAACTGATAATTAATCTGGTACCAGAGATGCGTGAGGCAAGGAGGCCCTAAGAGGTGAGATCGGCTACAATGAGATAGGATGGAGGGTCGTGGGCATGTCTCTTTCCCATGCTGGGACGTTAGTGATCTGCATTACGTGTTTGCAAAACAGCTGGTTAAAATGCCACCTATGCTGTCTTGTGAGTCAGACTATGAAACTAGCTTGATAGATAGGATAGATAGGAAAATAGACTTGATAGGAAAATTTTAGACTATCAGAGTACATTAAGTACTTCTTGTGGTTCCGATAGAAAGAAATGACCTTCGACTGTCAGTGTCTGAAGGCAGAGGGGGATGGCACATAGGTCTCCCTTGTCCAAATGAAGCTTTTTTTTTTTTTGCCTTTAACCAGCAATCCAAACTGTCAAAGACCCCGGTAGTCTTGAGCTGGCATGAAGAAAAAAGCTAAACTCTCTAGTTGTAGCCCAAAGTAACTCCATTCAGGGAACTTCTGAAATACACGTTATTCCTGACACAAAGTTGTTATTCCTGTTATAGAAGGTCATTTATTCACAGACATACAGCCCCGGGGCCAAGTGCAGCTTATTAGTGAGTCCTCATGGGATCATTATTTCTTCTTTTTCAGGGGTAGAAGACAAAGTGTACGTCATTGAAGAGAAACAGGGGAATGAACATTGAAGGCCCATTTCTAGGCCATGCAGAAATTCCCAAACCTAATTTTAGAATCAAGTATTTCACTTTGGTCACTAGCCCAAATTGATGGGACCAAAGAGAATAAAACCCCACTATACATTTGTGGGAGTTTTGACAGAGAAATGTGTGGTAGTATTGACAGAGAAATTCCACGCCAGATTGCTAATAGCCTCTGCTTAACTCAACTTCTAAAGTGTCTGCAGAATGCTAAAAGTGAACTGAGAAGTGGGTTTCTAAAACACCATGGTCCCTTGTAGATCAGCGAGGAAGCACCTTCATTTAAGTGCTCTGGACTGTTTAGTTATGTGATTTTGACTCTGTTAACCTGGAAACTAGCTAAGATGGAATGTGTCAACTGTATGGTTGGTTCACAATGATTTTGAAAAAACAAAACAAAACAAAAAAGGACTCTTGATTGTTAAGTTACATCTGGACTTGGAGTAACAATAAAATAATTATAAATAGTTATTCTAATAGGCATGGCAATTTTTTGGTGTGTTTGGTGATTCTTATAAGGGGCACGTCCCTGTTATGAGAATCCTGCAATCTATGTCCCTGCAGTTCTTATAGGACATACTGGTTCCTATGGATCATGTGGCTTTTAAGTTAGGAAAATCCCTGCACCCTCCAATGTGAATCTCAACCTTTGATCTAAATTGTCACCTATGAAGAGGACAGCCTGTGGGCGGCTATGTGGACCAGTACACAGATTGCTGATGCAAAAGCTTCTGCTGAGAGAAATGCCTGACATTGTCTTACTAAATAGCAGCTGTTCTTATCTGATATCCTTCTGAGTCATTGGTGGCTAATGTGGCCTTCGGGAGTCTTTTGAGTTTGAATACTTAAATAAACCAGTGAAGATGCCCTTGGTGAGCAGAGCATGCTTAGAAAAACAAATTTCCCTGTTGTGTAACTCACATGTAACCATGGGAGACAATGAACAGGAGATCCTCCCAGAAACAAAAAGAGGCAATCAAAGTTTATTTTGTCTGTTTCCAAGTTTAAGACATTTTAAAAGGAAAAAAAAACCAACAATTTTATCTGCACATATGAACAGGACTGCTTGATATTTTATTTTAGACCTGGAGCTTGATGTGATCGATGGGACTCTATGTTATCTCCATTCAGCAGTAGTGTGAGAAGTTGTGAGTGTGTGTGTGTGTGTTTGGTTTTATTCTGTTTTGTTTCTGTTTTTTTAGCATGAGCATTTTAGAAATTCCCCATTCATCTTGGGAAGTAAAATAAATGAGGGTTTTACACAACCAAAATGAAGTAGTATAGTGGGTATGTACTATTTTGAGCCATTCAGCATCAACTGCTCCCTCCTTGATATGGTTTAGCTCTGTGTCCCCACCCAAATCTCATCTTGTAGCTCCCATAATACCCACGTGTTGTGGGAGGGACCCTGTGGGAGATGATTGAATCATGGGGTTGGGTCTTTCTCATGTTGTTCTCATGATAGTGAATGGGTTTCATGAGATCTGATGGTTTTGAAAACGAGAGTTTTTCTGCACAAGCTCTCTCTTTGCCTGCTGCCATCCACGTAAGATGTGACTTGCTCCTCCTTGCCTTCTGCCATGATTGTGAGGCCTCCCCAGCCATGTGGAACTGTGAGTCCAATAAGCCTCTTTCTTTTGTAAATTTCCCATCAGCAGCGTGAAAACGGACTAACACACTCCTGTTGGTAACAGAATCACAATTTTAATTCAGGTATGTACTCTCCTTTGTGTAGCCCATGAGCTTTGGAGGTCGATTCCATTTCTGGTCCCAGGTGTAATCCCTGACTCGCTTAAGCCCATTAGCATGTTTCAGTCTCTTGGGCATAGAGATGGTTTCAGGGGAAGGCATGGACATATGACTAAATTCTAACCCATAACACCTGAGGAGAAATTTTATAAGGGTTTCTAGGAAAGAAATGTCTGTTTGTTTGAAATAAGTGCCAGGAGAGGCATTCTCTTCCTACTAGAAGAAGTCTGGGGTCCCAGAAGATGCTGACAGACATATTATGACCACAAAGAAGTCAGTTCCAAGTGGAACCAAACTACGTGGAAGGCAGAAAGACAGATAAAAGGAAACGGGATGTTGGAGATACAACCGACCTGAGGATCAAGGCTCGCCTAAAATGTGTCCATCCTTTGTTAGGTTACTCAAGACAATACATTCTCCTTACTGTTTAATCCAGCTTGAGTCAAACCTCCACTGCTTGCATCTAAAACATTTCTTAATAATCTGTTTCCTGTTTATACACTAGACTCTTCATCTCATATATGTCATGTTATTTTTTCCCTGACTATGTACTTTAATGATAAAAGCCATAAATCCTTGGACTCTTGGGAGAATGCAAAACAGTTTCCTTGAATTTCCTGTAGATTCTGCCATATGCCATTTTCAGAAATACACTCTTTCCCTTGGTCTTTCCACGCTGTGGCTTCCTCGTGTCCATAGGTATGTGCTGTTGTCATTGCTCTAGCTCATCTTTAACTAAGGTGAAATTTGCCAAGATTCAATACAGAGGTTCAAAGCATCTTCCTATCTTTTTCCAGATCTTTTCTTTCATGAAATCAAATCAAAATAAGTTTTAACAGGACCAGTTTCCTTCCTTATAATTGTTTCATTCAGCCCAGACTATGGCATTAGGCAGTGCCAGTCTTGGGCTTCGGTCTGGTGATCATTCCCAGATTAGAGGGATCTGGTTAGAGAAACCCACTATATACAAGGTAGTAGATTGTTAACATAGGGATCTATTTAAGAAAAAAAAAAACAGTTAATTAAGTTATAGTGGACAAAATAGGAAAGCAGTCCCCAATTTCCCACTCTTGGTTCCTAGGAAGGATGCAGTCTGCTCATACTCTCAGGGTACAGGTGATTAGAGAGAATAAATAACAGCTCTCTTGGCTATGTTTTTGTTTGTTTGTTTGTTTGTTTGTTTGTTTTTTGAGACGGAGTATCGCTCTGTCACCCAGGCTGGAGTGCAATGGCGTGATCTCGGCTCACTGCAACCTCTGCCACCCGGATTCAAGTGATTCTCCTGCCTCAGCCTCCTGAGTAGCTGGGACCATAGGCACCCGCCACCACACCTGGCTAATTTTTTTGTGTTTTTAGTAGCGACGGGGTTTCACCACTTTGGTCAGGCTGGTCCCGAACTCCTGACCGCCCGCCTTGGCCTCCCAAAGTGCTGGGATTGCAGGCGTGAGCCACCGCACCCAGCCTCTTGGCTGTGTTTTAACCATTCTTGGCCCTGACTTTAGATGTCTATTCAAGTGTTGGAACTCAAAACATTATCTGGGCAAGCAGGATAGTTCTCACAGCTTCCCTTCCTGTGACCAGGGCTCAGCTTACTTATACCTATAATAACCCCACGTGCCATGCTGTCACTGTCACCAGAGGTAGGAAGTTACTTTTCATTGGCCCAACTGCTTCTGATTTTCTTAGAGTGTAAAACATTATTGGAAATGAACATATCTCTACATATTTGGGGCAGCAAGGACACATGGAAAGTTCTATGTCTTTTCTTAGAGCAGCATCACAGCCATTGACCGTGTTGCTCATCTTAAGTTTGTTGTACTGACTGTGCTGAGGATTCTCATCAGCTCTCTTTTCCCAGTTTGCGAGACAAGCACAAACTAAATGTTAAGAGCTCCTTTATATAGCTAATTATCAATATACCTGTAAATTTTTGTCTTTCTATGTGTGAGAGGCTTTTTCAGGAGTGTTAATTGGGTATTATTTGCAATCTAAATTTCCAGAGTTGTAATTTTAGATAGATTAGACTAGATATACTGTGTTTGAATATTCACAATCCTTGGATGTTACAACTTCTTCCAAGTGGTTTCCAAACTCAAGCATAAAGGTATTTATTTATATCCCCCAATTTTTCTTCCTAATGGGTACAGAGGTAACTATCCTGTAACTTCCTAAATAAACATAAAAATAAGATTATAATAATAACTCTTAGTCCCAGTTGTTTGTATTCATGTGTAAATATAAAGTATCTACATTATAATTACTTTTAAAATATTTTATTATATTATTATATTTTAATGTGATATGAATTTCTCATTATGAAAATAAACTTTTCTTTCTTTTTTTTAAATTATACTTTAAGTTCTGGGATACATGTGCAGAACATGCAGGTTTGTTACATAGGTATACATGTGCCATGGTGGTTTGCTGCACCCATCAACCCATCATCTAGGTTTTAGGCCCCGCATGCATTAGGTATTTGTCCTAATGCTCTCCCTCCCCTTGCACCCCCACCCCCTGGCAGGCACAGGTATGTGATGTTCCCCTCCCTGTGTCCATGTGTTCTCAATGTTCAACTTCCATTTATAAGTGAGAGCATGTGGTGTTTGGTTTTCTGTTCCTGTGTTAGTTTGCTGAGAATGATGGTTTCCAGCTTCATCCACATCCCTGCAAAGGACAAGAACTCATTCTTTTTTATGGCTGCATAGTATTCCATGGTATATATGTGCCACATTTTCTTTATCAAGCCTATCATTGATGGGCATTTGGGTTGGTTCCAAGGCTTTGCTATTGTAAATAGTGCTGTAATAAACATATGTTTGCATGTGTCTTTATAGTAGAATGATTTATAATCCTTTCGATATATACCCAGTAATGGGATTGCTGGGTCAATGGTATTTCTAGTTCTAGATCCTTGAGGAATCGCCACACTGTCTTTCACAAGGGTTGAACTAATTTACACTCCCACCAACAGTGTAAAAGTGTTCCTATGTCTCCACATCCTCGCCAGCATCTGTTGTTTCCTGACGTTTTAGTGATCACCATTCTAACTGGCGTGAGATGGTATCTCATTGTGGTTTTGATTTGCATTTCTCTAATGACCAGTGTTGATAAGCTTTTTTTCATATGTCTGTTGGCTCCATAAATGTCTTATTTTGAGAAGTGTCTGTTCATATCATTTGCCCACTTTTTGATGGGGTTTTTTTTTTCTTGTAAATTTGTTTATGTTCCTTGTAGATTCTGGATATTAGCCCTTTGTCAGATGGATAGATTGCAAAAGTTTTCTTCCATTCTGTAGGTTGCCTGTTCACTCTGCTGATAGTTTCTTTTGCTGTGCAGAAGCTCTTTAGTTTAATTGGATCCCATTTGTCTGCTTTGGCTTTTGTTGCAATTGCTTTCAGTGTTTTAGTCATGAAGTCTTTGCCCATGCCTATGTCCTGAATGGTATTGCCTAGGTTTTATGCTAGGGTTTTTATGGTTTTAGGTCTTACATGTAAGCCTTTAATCCATCTTGAGATAATTTTGGTATAAGGTGTAAGAAAGGCATCCAGTTTCACTTTTCTGCATATGGCTAGCCAGTTTTCCCAGCACCATTTATGAAATAGAGAGTCCTTTCCCCATTGCTTGCTTTTTTCAGGTTTGTTGAAGTTCAGATGGTTGTAGATGTGTAGGTGTTATTTATGAGGTCTCTGTTCTGTTCCATTTGTCTGTATATCTGTTTTGGTACCAGTACCATGCTGTTTTGGTTACTGTAGACTTGCAGTATAGTTTGAAGTCAGGTAGTGTGATGCCTCCAGCTTTGTTTTTTTGCTTAGGATTGTCTTGGCTATACAGGCTCTTTTTTGGTTCCATATGAAATTTAAAGCAGTTTTTTCTAATTCTGTGAAAAAAGTCAATGGTAGCTTGATGAGAATAGCTTTGAATCTATAAATTACTTTGGGCAGTATGGCCATTTTCACAATATTGATTCTTCCTATCCATGAGCATGGAATTTTTTTCCATTTGGAAAAAAACTTTTCATTTGATTTTTTTAACTTTTATTTTAAGTTCAGGAATACAAATTCAGGTTTGTTACATAGGTAAACTTGTGTTATGGAGGTTTGTTGTGGAGATTATTTCATCACCCACGTATTAAGCCTGGTACCCATTAGTTGTTTTTCCTGATCCTCTTCCTTCTCCCACCCTCCACCCTCTGATAGGCCCCAGTGTGTGTTATTCCCCTCTATGCATTCATGTGTTCTTATCATTTAACTCCCACTTATAAATGAGAACATGTGGTAGTTGGTTTTCTGTTCTTGTGTTACCTTGCTAAGGATAATGGCCTCCAGCTCCATCTATGTTCCCACAAAGGACATGATCTCATTCTTTCTATGGCTAAATAGTATTCCATGGTGTATATATACAACATTTTCTTTATCCAGCCTATCATTGATGGGCATTTAGATTGATTGCCTGTCTTTGCTATTGCGAATAGTGCTGCACTGAACATATGCATGCATGTCTCTTTATAATAGAATGTTTCCACTTAATTTAGAAGTTTTAATCATTTAAAACTACCTTCTCAACTGCTCATACAGTGCTGATGGGAGTGTAAATTGGTACAGCCCACTTTGAAAAACTATTTCACAATATGTTATCAGGCTGGGCATATTCATATCCTGTGATTTAGCATTCCAGTCTTAGTTATATGCCCAACAGAAATACATCTATAGGTTCAGCAAAGATATGTACTAGAATATCCATGCAATGCTATTCCTGATGGTCCCAAACTGGACACTATACAAAAAGAGTGAGAAGGATAAATAAATTATAGTATTTTCTCTTTTTTAAAATTTTATTTTAAGTTTTGGGATACATGTGCAGAGCATGCAGGTTTGTTACGTAGGTAGATGTGTTACATGGTGGTTTGCTGCACCTATCAACCCATCACCTAGGTATTAAGCCCCACATGCCTTAGCTATTTATCCTGATGCTCTCCCTTCCCCTCCCCATCCCCGACAGGCCCTGGTGTGTGATGTTCCCCTCCCTGTGCCCATGTATTCTCCTTGTTCAACTCCCACTTATGAGTGAGAACATGCAGTGTTTGGTTTTCTGTTCCTGTGTTAGTTTGGTAAGGATGATGGCTTCCAGCTTCATCCACGTCCCTGCAAAGGATATGATCTCACTTATTTTTATGGCTGCATAGTATTCCGTAATGCATATTTACCACATTTTCTTTATCCAGTCTATCATTGATGGACATTTGGGTTGATTCCATGTCTTTGCTATTGCGAATAGTGCTGCAACGAACATAAGTGTGCATGCATGTATCTTTATAAAGAAATTATTTATATTCCTTTAGGTATATACCCAGTGATGGGATTGCTGGGTCAAATAGTATTTCTGGTTCTAGATCCTTGAGGAATCACCACAATATCTTCCACAATGGTTGCACTAATTTACATTCCCACCAACAATGTAAAAGCATTCCTATTTGTCCACAGCCTCACGAGCATCTGCTGTTTCTTGACTTTTCAATAATCACCATTCTGACTAATAATAGTATTTTCACACAGTGAAATACTATACTATGATAAGAATGTGTTATCTACAACTACATGGAACAACAGGAAAGATCTCAGAAACATAAAATTGAGTGAAAGAAGCTATACACAGAGAATTGCATATTGTCTAATTCATTTTTTTAACTAAAATATCTGGCAAAATCCACCTCTGCTGTTTGAAGTAGGACAAAAGTTACTCTTAGAATTATGACTGGAAATGCACATGGGGGTGTAGTTTCTGGTGATTCTTTTTCTTCTGATGCAGGTGCTGGTTCCATGGGCTGTGTTCAATTTGTGAAAATGCTTTGAGCTGTAGACTTAGGATATTAGTATTTTTGCTTAAATGAAAACTTCTAAAAAAATTTAAATGATCCTATCTTTTGTGCTTCCTCAGGTTTACTGTCTCTTTCCATCAGTGTTATAGAGGTACTGTTTTTCATATTTGTAGTTGCCTCTTATAAAAATTCATAGTGACATGTATAAAATGAGTTGCATCTGTTAACAGCTATAAAAAAGCAGTGGAAAAATAGTTTGGAAAAGGTCGTTTTTAAAATTTATTTTTGTTTCAGGGAAAAAGCTGTGACAGACTACAAATAGGCCACAATTCTTTTCAGGTGTTTTCATCAAAAAGTGGAGTCTATTGCTCTACCTCTTGAATATGGGCTTGCTTGGGCCAATAGAATGTGAATGCTGAGTATAGATCTTAAGAGGTTTGTCAAGCTTCTCCTCTCTTAGAGCACTTTGATCTCCATATGACAAGGTCAGGACAGCCTGCTGGAGGATAAGAGACCAGGTGGAGGGAAGACCTCACAGGCATGTTCCCAGTGACCTGCTAGTTGACTGCAGGCAGATGAGCAAGCCCAGACATAATCAGTAGACCTGCCCAGCAAATCTACAGACTTCAAACTACAGACTTAAACTTAATAATTTTAAGCTGCTAAGTTTTGGGGTGGTTTGTTTGCAGCAAAATCTAACTAATGAGAGCTCTTTGCAAAGTGTGCTCTGAATATTTTATCAAGCTGGTCCACATGGACATGAATATACATGCTGCATTGTCTCCATCTTCAAAATACATCTAAAATCAGACCATTTCACCCCATTTCCACAACTACTGTTCATCATATCCACCGCTGTGTGTCACCATGATACCATAATGGACTCATAAATATTCTTTCTTCTCCTGCCCTTGCCTTATGCAAGCCTGTTCTTCACCAAAAGCTAGGGTGATCCTTTTAAAGCAAAAAGATCATATCACCCCACTGCTCTAAACCTACCAATGGTTTCCCATCTCATTCAGAGTAAAACCCAATATTTTCTCACAGTGGCTACAGGTTCAACAGTGTCTGGCCTATTCTTGTCTCTCTTATCTTATCTCCTACCCTGCTGTATTAGTCTGTTTTTACACTGCTATAAAGAACTACCTGACACTGGGTAATTCATTTTAAAAAGGCTTAATTGACTCAGTTCCACATGCCTGGGAAGGCCTCAGGAAACTTACCATCGCGGCAAAAAGGTGAAGAAGAAGCAAGGCACGTCTTACATGGCAGCAGGAGAAAGAGAAAGTGAGGAAGGAACTGCCAAACACTTTTAAAACCATCAGATCTTGTGAAAACTCACTCACTATTATAAGAACAGCATGGAGGAAGCTGCTTCCATGATCCAATCACCTCTCACCAGGTCCCTCCCTCGACAAAATGGGGATTACAATCAAGATGAGATTTTGGTGCAGACACAGAGTGAAACCATATTATTACACCCCTGGAGTCTCCCAAATTTCATGTCCTTTTCACATTTCAAAACACAAGTATGCCTTCCCAACAGTACCCCAAAGTCTTAACTCACTCCAGCATTAACTCAAAAGTCCAAGTCCAAAGTCTCATCTGAGACAAGGCAAGTCCCTTCTGCCAATAAGTCTGTAAAATCAACAACAAGTTAGTTATGTCCAAGATACAATGGGAGTACAGGCATTTGGCAAATGCCCCCATTCCCAATGGGAAAAATTGGCCAAAGCAAAGGGCTATAGGCCCCATGCAAGTCTGAATCCTGGCAGGCCACCCATTAAATCTTAAGGCTCCAAAATGATCTCCTTTGACTCTGTGTCTCATGTCCAGGGCATGCTTATGCAACAGGTGGTCTCCCAAGGCCTTGGGCAGCTCTACCCCAGTGGCTCTGCAGGGTACAGCCCTTGTGGCTGCTTTCATGTGTTGCAGGAAGTCAGGGACCCTGAACGGAGGGACCAGCTGGAGCTGTGGCAGAGGAACATAAATTGTGAAGATTTCATGGGCATTTATCAGTTCCCAAATAACACTCTCATAATTTCTTATGCCTGTCTTACTTTAATCTCTTAATCCTATTATCTTTGTAGCTGAGGATGTACATCACCTCAGAACCACTATTGTACAAATTGATTGTAAAACATGTGTGTTTGAACAATAAGAAATCAGTGCACCTTGGAAAAGAAGAGAATAACAGCGGTTTTCAGGGAGCAAGGGAAGACAATCATAAGGTCTGTCTGCTTGCGGGGTCGGGAAAAATAGGGCCATATTTTTCTTCTTGCAGAGAGCCAATAAACAGACGTGCAAGTAGGGAAGATATCGCTAAATTCTTTTCCTAGCAAGGAATATTAATAATTAATACCTTGGGGAAGGAATGCATTCCTGGGGGGAGGTCTACAAATGGCCCCTCTGCGAGTGTCTGTCTTATGTGGTTGAGATAAGGACTGAAATATGCCCTGATGTACTGCAGTACCCTCAGGCTTATTAGGGTGGGGAAAAAACTCTGCCCTGGTAAATTTCTGGTCAGACCAAACTACTCTTGAACCCTGCTTTCTGTTGTTTAAGATGTTTATCAAGACAACATGTGCACTGCTAAATATAGACCCTTATCAGGAGTTCTGCTTTTGCCCTTGTCCTGTTTCCTCAGAAGTGTGTGATCTTTGTTCTCCTTTTTGCCCTTTGAAGCATGTGATCTTTGTGACCTACTCCCTGTTCTTACACCACCTCCCCTTTTGAAATCCTTAATAAAACTTGCTGGTTTTGCAGCTCAGGTGGGCATCACAGTCCTACTGATATATGATGTCACCCCTGGAGGCCCAGCTGTAAAATTCCTCTCTTTGTACTCTTTCTCTTTATTTCTCAGATGGCTGACACTTATGGAAAATAGAAAGAACCTACGTTGAAATATTGGGGGAGGGTTCCCCCAATAGTCATGGGCTGGCATTGAGTGCTGTGGCTTTTCCAGGTGCACAGTGCAAACTGTGGAGCTACTATTCTGGGGGCTGGAGGATGATGGCCCTTTTCTTACAGCTCCACTCCACATTTTCTCTCTGCATTTGCCCTAGTAGAGGTTCTCCATGAGGGTTCCACCTTTACAGCAGACTTTTGCCTGGACATCCAGGCACTTTCATACATCCTCTTAAATCTAGACAGAGGCTCCCAAAGTTCAAATCTTGTCTTCTGCACACCCGCAGGCCCAACACCATGTGGAAACCAGTAAGGCTTAGGCTTACATCCTCTGAAGCAATAGCCTGAACCATAGGTTGGCCCCATTTAGCCATGGCTGGAGTGACTGGGACACAGGGCTCCATGTCCTAAGGCTGCACAGAGTAGTTGGGCCCTGGACCCGGCCCAGGAAACCATTTATCCCTCCTAAGCCTCTGGGCCTGTGATGGGAGGGGCAACTGTGAAAATTTCTGAGATGCCCTGGAGACATTTTTCCCACTGTTTTTGTGATTAAAATTCATCTCCCTGTTACTTATGCAAATTTCTGCAGCAGGCTTATATTTCTCCCCAGAAAATGCCTGTTTCTTTCCTACCATATAGTCAGGCTGCAAATTTTCCAAACTTTTATCCTCTGCTTCTCTTTTGTATGTAAGTTCAGATTTCAGATCATCACTTTATGAAAGCATATGACTATATGCTTTCAGAAAAAGCCAGGTTGCATCTTGAATGCTTTGCTGCTTAGAAATTTCTTCTGCCAGGTACCAGAAAATTATCTCTCCCAAGTTTAAAGTTCCACAGGTCTCTAGAGCAGGGGCAAAATGCTGCCAATCTCTTTGCTAAAGCATAGGAAGAGTGACCTTTGCTCTAGTTCCCAAGAAATTCCTTATCTCCACCTGAGACCACCTCAGCCTGGACTTCATTGTCTGTATCACTATCAGCATTTTGGTCAAAACCATTCAACAAGTCTCTAGAAAGTTCCAAACTTTTCCACATCTTCCTGTGTTTTTCTGAGCCCTCCAAGCTGTTCCAACCTCTGCCCATTACCCAGTTCCAAAGTTGCTTCCACATTTTTAGGTATCTTTATAGCAGTGCCCCACTCCTGGTATGAATTTTCTGTATTAGTTCATTTTCACACAACTATAAAGAACTACCCAAGACTGGGTAATTTACTTTAAAAACGTTTAATTGACTTACAGTTCCACATGGTTGGGGAGGCCTCAGGAAACTTACAATCATGGCAGGAGGCGAAGGGGAAGGAAGGCACATCTAACATGGCGGCAAGAGAGAGAGAGAGAAAGTGGGAGGGGAACTGCCAAACACTTTTAAAACCATCGGATCTTGTGAGAACTCACTCACTATCATGAGAACAGCATGGGGGAACCACCCCCATGATGCAATCACTTCCCACCAGGTTCCCCTTTTGATATGTGGGGATTACAATCAAGATGAGATTTGGGTAGGGAAACAGAGCCAGACCATATCACCTGCTTACCCTTTTCTCACTGCTCTGGCTGCTCAGTCTCTTCAATGTCCCTCAAACATACTACACAAGACTCCATATCTTCCCTTGCTGTTTCTCTACCTGGAATGTTCTTTGCCAAAGTAGCCATATATCTTACTCTCACAGCTTCTCCAGGTTTTTGCTCAAACATTTCTTCCTCACTTGGTGATTCTGTGACCATCTTATTTAAAATTTCTCATCTCCAGCAGCACTTCCTATTATACTTTCATGCTTTCTTCCTCCCCATCCATAGCACTTATTGCCACCCAAATTGGGATGTGTATTTATTTCCCAGGGTTTTTATAACAAATTACCACAAACTTGGTAGCTTAAAACAACAGAAATATATTGTCTTATAGTTCTGGAGGCCAGGAGTCCAAAATCAAGCTGTCATCAGGGCTCTCTTCCTTTGACAGCTCTAGGGGGGGAGAATCATTACTTATATCTTCCAGCTTCTGGTGGCCCAAGGTATTTCTTGGCTTGTGGATGCAGAACTCCAATCTCTATCTCTACCTTCACATCACCTTCTCTGTTTTCTCTTCTCTCTCATATAAGGAACTTGTCATTGGACATTGAGTCCACTCGGATAATCCAGAATGGTCTCAGTTTGAGGTCCTTAACTTTATTATATTTCAAAGACTCTTTTTTTTTCAAATAAGTTCCCAATCACAAGTTCCAGGTTGAAAGTGTGAAAATATATTTTTGGGAGCCACCATTCAACCCATTACAATATGTATGTATGTTAGATATATATATGTATACACACACACACACACACACACAAAGGTATTATCTGCTATCTGTTTCTGCTCACAAAGGTAACAAGTTTTAATATTTTGCTATTGTATCCCTACACGTACATAATAGATCTTTAATATATATTAGTTAAATGAATGAATAAATATAGTGATTTAAAATATATACTGCATGTGTAATTAATATATATTTATATTTTATTTTGTGGGGTTCCTTATGAGTTTGGATGGTGATAATCAAATCTTCAGGGCATGTTCTCTGGATAAACTACTGAAACTGACTACCAGCCTTTTATGATGGTTACCCCAACAAGATCACCAAATGCCCTGAAACTTCCGGCTTGCTTTGTGTGTCACCTTAGAAATAGCTTGTTTCTATGTGAATTTAACCAGTAATCCACTATACATTATTTTCTCTGTTGAGGCAGATTTCTACATTGGTCTGTGTCCTTACTTTGCTGAGCCTGTGCACTTAGGTATTCCTTCCACAAAGGGGAAGGAGCTCAATGTTCCATCTGTTATTTGAAAAAAAAATTTAATAGAATTCCCCAAGAAACCCTACTTCTACATTCTCCCTTTCCAAGATATTCATGAGAAATAATAAAGAAATAAACTGCCTCTGATAGTTGTAGCCTCCCAGGTTAACTATAACTATAGTATGTGGAGTCAACTAGGTGTGGAATTGTTTTAGACAGGTCCAGAGAGCATAGCCTTCCCAAACAGTTTTCCCATGCAAACCCTAATCTAGTGGCAGCTTGCTTAGATCATGCACTGCCCAAGATATTTAACAATCAATGTCTTTTCCATCATGGTAGTTGATCCTCATAACCATTGCGTAAGAAACACCAAGCAACTATTATTACTCCTGTTTTACACATAAAGACTCAGTGTTTCCAAAAGTATAGATGGTTTGGCCAAGGTCACATGGTGAATATATATCCAGGGCTAAAATTCAAGTTATTGCCAGAGTTTTTTTATCTTTCATTTCCTAATCCCTACTGAACATGTCTTTTCCTTTCTTAATGCACACATTTAATATCCCTATATGACTATGCAATTATATTTTGATTCATTTGAAGTTTTCAGAAAATAATCTCTTTTTTGTGTGTCTAGATTTTAAATAGAAATATATTCATCACAACTTACTTGTTGCATCAAGGGACCAAACTACATTCCAGAAGCAAACATTAAATCCTTTCCATTTTAAGCATTGTTCTCTTTTGCACATTTATTCCCTAAAGCAAGTTGTGCTTGCATTTTATTTTTGTTTCTTTTTTCCTCTGGGACCTATAATTCACATGTTTTCATTTTTATTTTATTACTGTTCTGCAGGTATAGTAATTCATAATTCCAACTATATTCCTTTACAACTAGCTTTCATACTTGGCTTCTAAAGAAGTATGTTTTCTCTCTAGGGAGAGCCCATTCACTAGAGAAAGACCCAGGGTTTGGATTCAGGGAACTGGGACTTTGACCTCTGCTCTCCCACTGTCTGTGGTTGTATGTTATTTACTTCCTTGAACATCTGTTCTGGAAGTTTATAAAATGGAACAAATAATTCTGCCTCACGTTTCTTAATTAAGAAGAAAGAGAAAGCATTCTTGAAAGTGTGGTTTGTTCTTAGCTAAAAGATGTTATTAATGCAAGAAACTCTCCTGTTTAAAACTGTTACAATAAAAGAATTAAATTCCCACTGATGTTGGCCCACTATGTTGAATACAGCTTAAAAATATATCTCCCTTTGCCAATGGCAAAACTATGAACCAAGAGCAAGCATATCTATGTACCTTCTATGGGTGTAAAGCACATTTGATCAATGAGGTTCTAGCGTGTGTGTAGAGGGTGTTAGATATATAGGTAAGGAAAGTTGAGAATCACTATGGCATGGAATGAAAATCTCTGTCAATTCCTGAAACCTGTTACTTATCTCTGAGTTGAGTGTGGAGAAAGTGGAAAACCAAGAGAAGATAAAAGAGAGGGCGGGAAGGGGGGTGCGGGGCGGGAACAAGAGGATATCAAGATCAAAAGAAAAGAGAAGTAATGAGGGCAATTATTGTTTGGCAATTCATATATTTGATGATATTTATTTATCATCTATTTTATGTTCATCCACTAAAGGATACATTGTGGCACCTAGAAGGGAAATATAAAATTCAATAAAAGGCAACTGTGTGAGTTATATCAGAAGACAAAACACAATTGTGTAAGGTACAATTCACTTACAGATAAAAGAAAGCACTCTAACTAGTTTAAGCAGAAAGGGATTTAATACAGGTTAGTAAGTGCTTGCAAAAAGTGTTGCAAAAACTCAGGAAGCAGTCTCTGCCACCAAAATTCACTCCCAGAACATCAAGAATGAGACTGTTGAGGGAGTTGCTACCTCTGTCTTAGAAAGATGGGAAATCAGGAAGCTACCACCTATTTTGTTGGCCCCAGAGCTATTAGTGTATGGCAGATCCAAAAACAGCTAACTCACCCATCACCATCTCTCTTCCTACTTAACTCAGTTATAAATTTACTCACAGTCTTAGAAACCCCATTTGGGGTCACAACCATTGAGAACTGTTTTCTCTAGCTCTCTAGAAGGTGTATGGCCTTAGAGCACTGACCATATGCACAGATGCAGATACCCAAGCGCCTGAGATTGAAGTAGACATGGTGATGTCATATTAACATGGGCAGTGTCCTAACTGAGTCGTTAAAGGAGAAAGGATGGAGGAAGACATACAGGCACCCACTCAGACCTTTCTTTCTAATCAGCTGTAATTGACTAGTCAGATCTGCTGGCCTGGCAATATGCCAGTTTCTTCAGAGCTTCCTTGACCTCTCGGTTTCTTAGGCAATAAATGAAAGGGTTGAGAGAAGGAGTGACAATGGCATAGAAGATGGAAATAATTTTGTTCATGTTGAAGGCATGGATAACTCGAGGTCGAGCATACATGAAAATAATGGCTGAATAGAAAATGGTGACCACCACAAGATGGGAGGCACAAGTGGAGAACGCTTTCTGCTTTCCTGTGGGCATGCATAATATGGTGGCCAGAATGCATCCGTAGGACAGGACAGTAATAAAGAGTGGGAATAGGAAGATGACCAGTGCCAGGATAAAGTCTACCAACTCAGTTATGGACATGTCTGTGCAGGAGAGATTAAGTACTGGAGAGATGTCACAGAAGAAGTGGTTGATGACATTGGGACCACAGAAGCTGAGGCAGGAGATGAAGTAGATCTTCGCCAGGGAGATGCCAAAGCCAATGGCCCAGGAACCAAGAGCGAGGCGGAAGCAGAGCCCATGGCTCATTATGGTTGGGTAGTGGAGTGGGCGACAGATGGCCACATACCGGTCATAGGCCATGGCGGCCAGAAGCACACATTCTGTGCACATGAGAGCAATGAAGAAGTACAGTTGTATCATACAGAGTGTGAAAGAGATGCTGTTGTTCACAGACCAAAAACTAAACAGTAACTTGGGCACAGTCACAGAGATGTACCAGGTCTCCAAGAAGGACAGGTTGGCCAGGAAGAAGTACATAGGCTTGTGCAGTGGCCGATTTTGCAGCACCAATAGGATGATGATCACGTTTTCAGCCACTGTCAGAATATAGGCCACAAGGAATATCAGAAACATGGCTGCCCGCATACTCAAGCTCCCAGGGAATCCCACCAGAATGAACTTGGTGACTCGTGTCTGGTTCTCCAACTCCATATTGGAGACACAGGGCTTAGCTCTCCTGGGGAGGAAAAATCATTTGATCAGACTCCATGGCCCAGCTATATTTTTCCATACTTGTCTTCTCTATCAGTAATAGTTATCATTTATTAATACATATTACAGGTCAGACCATGAACTGGGTACGTGAGGCACACAACGTAATTTAATTTCCACATAGCCGTGTGTGTGTGTGTGTGTGTGTGTGTGTGTGTGTGTGATTGTATCTGTTTTAAAGATGAAGAAATCGTGTCTTGGAGAGGAATTAAGTAACTGACCACGTTGTCACTGGTAGCAGGGCAGGAATCACATTCAAGTCTCAGTCTAAAGCCCACGCTCCTTCTAATATCTTGCACCATCTGACACCTAACAATTGCCAATTCCAAAAGATACACCTGACCTTCCTGTCTCTCCACCTACCCAGAGCTCTGGAAGTTCTTCCTTACAACTCCTTTATCCTTCACATGCTATTATTTTCATCTACCATCCCTGGAGATAGAGAGTAGCTGTCATCACCTATGAGGTACATGAGAAAGTGAGTAGCAGAGATTTGGGCTTTTCAGTATTAAAGACCTCCTGGACCTCATTCAAGTCTAAGGTCTGCCACCGATTTGCTATGACCTTGAAATCTTACCCTCTCTGAGATTGAGTTTTCTCTTCCGTCAATGTGAATATTAATATTTATTCAGCTTATTTCATTGAGGATCAAAATCCAAATGAGTTAATGTAAATGAAATTTTATATAAACTAATGGCAATAATCGTGAAAGGGGATTTTCCCCCATATTAGAGCAGTGATGAAGGTAGGAATACACTAACTGGAGGGAGGGGAGGATCTGCTGTGATCCAAGGCAAAGCCATGAGCAAAGTAAACATGGGCTCATTCAGGGAATTTGACATTCTTGAGAGTGAAAATGGGGATCACTGAGTGAAGATTTTTAAAGACAAGCAAACAAAGATAGAGATGCATTATAAAATTTGAAATATTTTCTATGAAGGTTAACAGACACAACATAATACTAAGGTAATCAGGAAAGGTCCCTCTGACCTTTGAGGAGGTAATATTAAGGCTGGGAAGGATTCTAGGACCCCAGCTCTTTGAAGGGCTGAGGTTGTAGGGAGCTGTGCTGAAGGAGATATGATTGCCATGCTGTGATGGATGGGAAAGGAGCCAAGGAAGAAGGCAGGAAGCCAGGGCCAGAAGGTGCAGGACCCCAGAGGTTATAACAATCAGGGATCTGAACAGTGGTCTAAAAGCAGTCGGAAACAAGCAAAAGATTAAAGGTGAATGGGACATGATATGATTTACGCAATGGAAAGATAACTCTGTCGTTGCAAAACGGACTCCTTGGAGGCAAGAGCATGAGCTGTGAGCTATGAAACTAGTTGGAGGCTACTCAGAATAGGTGACAGTGAACTTAAATACTGTGGTTCCAGAGAAGCAGATTTAAGATACACGTTAGAAGCAGAATCTTTAACAGTAATTGGTGACTTGGATATGGAAGGTGAGAGAAAGAAAGAAATCACGGAGGAACCCCAAATATAGAGCTTATTACCTAGAGGTGATGCCATTTACTAAGGTAGTTAGATGGCATCATTTACTAACTATCTTACTATCTTTACTAACTGTCTTACTATCAGTTCAGAAAATCTTCTAATAATAATTTATTGAGTATTTAATAGGTGCTGGGAAGTTCTTTTCATGCAATATCCCATTTAATCCACAAAATAATGTTAATTAGACATTGCTATTCTAATTTCAAAGAAGACACTGTGGTTTAGATAGATTAAATAATATTTCCAAGTTAGACAGTGATAAAATCAGAATCATAAAGCCCAGGTCCGACTACAAAGGCATGTCCTTAACCACTAGAGTGAAACACACTGATGAAGAATATCACATTTTGGACTTACCAATGTATTTTACATTTAAAATTCCTGACTATTTTAGGAAGTGTTCTTTAATCCTGCTGAAATTTTATTATAAGCTGAGACTATTAGAGATGAACCCAAATGTTAAAAAGAAAGCAACATGATACAAGTACATATTCAATCAGACACACATAACAGAAATGAATGTATAGAAATGCTTGGTAAATGTATCTGAGAATAATGATTGGATATGTTTTGAAATATAAATTAGGAGGAGGAAAAGGCATTTTTGGCAGATGAATCAGAGTGAACAAAGGCACGGAGATCTGAAACAGTTTGAAATTTTCAGGAACTCAACTCATAATTGCTGCGTGAGTGGGCAAGTTGTGAGTGAGTGAATGAGCAGAAAAGAGATGGATGGAAAGAGAAAGAGAGAGACTCTGTTGTCACGGACCAGATCATGGAATAGTGAGGCATTTAAGAATTATCCTGAAGTATAGACAATAAGTAATCACTGTTTGTCAGCAGGATGACAACATCCTCTTATTATATTCTTGTTTTTGATGTGGGAGGATGGGTTAGGATGGGACAAGGTTGCCAAACCAGAGATTCATAGACCCGTTAGAAAGCACCCTCATAGCATACACTTAAAGATACACACAAAGAAGAGAAAAATCATTCTAGCTTATAACATTTGTCAAAGAAACAAAGATGGACATATTTAGCTATACTTGTTCACAAGTTACATAAGTTTTCACTTCTAGAGGAAGCTCTACAAGAAAAACAAAGAATTCCTTATTTCTCATTAACTGAATGAAGGTGCACTGGCACTAATTATTGCATACTGGTATTTTTATGTATCACCTTACTGCAAAATATGTACAGCCTTTTTACTTATAATAGTTTTTACTCCATTAAGCATACTCAAACATGTTACCCCTCATAGCAGATTTACCACTGGTCTAGAATCAAACATCTTTGTTTCTTATGTCTGCTGCTATGCACTTTTCCCCAACTTTGTCAGGGTTCTATACATACGTAGGTTCCAAGTAATTTGAATTTGATGAACATTTAACCTCCGCCCCTGCCAAGATAGCAGCAGTTTTTGTAGCCACCACCAGAAACAAGTTGCCAGGAAGATGTGGTGGTTGCAGCACAGGGATATCAGGTCATCGGGTCAATGGTAGGGATCTAAAGTTTGGGATCATAATCTGGGGCACTAATTTTTGATCCCACACAGAGAGATGTCTCCAAAGTGGCAAGAGGAGCCTGCTCCCTCAGCTCACTGCATAACTGGCTGCACTTAGATTTCAGGAGACAAGAATATTATCCGGACCGATTGCTAGGAATTGAGAGTGGATAGAACAGAGAGGCATTAAACATTTTAGAGTTTAAATGTTGCTGCGCTGTAGGAGCCTGAAACAGGGCTGCCTGCATAGTGAGAAAGTAATGCTCTGAGAGGGAGCACTTACCTTGGCACAGCAGCCTCTGATAGGATGAAATGTGAAAACAAAGCCTTCACCAATTCTAAAATAGGAAGATGCAGAAGAAAAAGATTCAGGTATTGAATAGATGTGAGGAACCCACTTTCTAAACCTAGAAAGAGTGACTGGGTACAGATTGCCCCACTGCTTTCAAGCTGAAAGCCAGGATAAGATGACAGGAGAGCCCTAGGCACTAGGACCACATCTGCATCTGATGTGGCACGAGGCTGCTTCGTCCAGCACCCTGGGACTAGGGTGCCCATCACCTTCCTGGTGAACATGGCAGTGATTTTAGGCACACTGAGCTGTGAAGACCTTTGGATTCTGAGGGCTTTATAGAGTACCAAGACTTTCCCTACATATCTGCCAAGACCCAAGAGAAAAGAACCTTGACAATGGCAGTTCAGTTCTCTTGTGGGATCCAAGAGAAATTTCCATTTGCCCATTGTGGTGATCTTAATTGTTTTATATGTTATTAGTTCCATAGGAAAAAAAGGTCCACTTATGACCACGCACTTTGGAAAGAACCATATTTTTTGACAGATGAAGAGAAAAATGTACTGCAGTGAAATCTCTATATACAGACTTTCGAATATTCTTCCATCTTTGGCTTACTTGAAACAGGATGATCATGCAAGTGCTCCAAATGTGATATTGATGCCCAAAGGAGACTGATATTAGTACATTTTAGTACAAGTTTAAATGACAGTTTTTGTTTTAGATACTTATGTCAACTTGTTCACTAAGTAAATTTATCCTGATGGAATTATTGTCACTTTGTCAGCTGCCCATGGGTACCATTTGACCAATAGTTCACATTCTGGTACAAAGCTCTAGTGTACTAAAAATCACTTCTTCTGTAGCCGGCAGAACTCTTAAGTTGCCCTCTCACAAAGAAAAGCTATCAGATTCACTGTGATTTGATGCAATGGTAGATGAATATATTAAAAGTTATAAACAGTTCAGTGTGGAGAGCCACACATGTTTATGGTAATTAAGCAAGCAGCCTTCAGTACAATTTCTCTTACAGGACTGAAGTATGAAAACCAAGTAGTAGCAAATAAAAGTAAGGCATCTCTTTCAAGTCTCTGGCCTTGATTTATCTCCAAGTCTCAGAAAAACTGACTTCTCTAAAATGTATTATTTTATATTAACCACAATTTTTCAACATGGTTTTAAGCTGCTGTGATATGGTTGTCACTGAGGGGGACCACATTTCTCCTCCAAAGATAGAAAATGTCCATCTACTGTGAGAAGATTCTGTGAGTTACTGTGACAATCATTTTTGACTCCTGGAGTCAACATTTTATACAAGCAATTCTAGAATGGAGATATTTAGCAGATAAACATTGGCTGTATTCTGGGACATGTTGACACGATCTTATCCTAGAATTCAGCTGTACAGGCTTTCCTTGGAGTTTTTTTTTTTTCCTATACCAATTGGTTTCAGGTTGAAGTCTTCTGCAGATTCCTGTTCAATACATACGGGAGGCAATAGGGAAACTCCAAGAACCTGTGTGTTGTGCCTGAGGTCCCTTGGCTATCTGCCTTCTTCTTTCGGAGTCCACGTATATTTGTTGTTATGTCCACTTTTTTTGTTGTTGTTTGTTTTTATTATAAGGAGCATTTTATTCTTTATTATTGTTCTCTGTTGGGGTTGACACTAGTTCTGTTTGGGGCACACCTCCACACTTTGGCCATTACAACTCGGTTTTAGCTGTCAATTGTTATTGGGCAGACCCTGAAGGTCATTCAGAGGTGAAATCTTAGGGCCTTCTCAGGCCTTTTCTGAGCATGCATTCTGCTCTGGATATACACCTGGCTTTCTTTGTTTTCTGGCATACACCTGAGTTATAAAAAAATCCCTTATTTTCCAATGTACCTTCTTCCCCAACCTATTTTCTTCCCAATCTTTTCTGTCTGTTGCTTGTTACCACTTTTATCCCTAGACCAAGACTGCTGCAACCAATGCTTTTGCTTTTAACTGCATTCAGCAAATGGTACCTAGGAAGCTACCCCAGCCCTGGGAAAACTTCCATTCAAGAAACACAAAGGTAAGCCCTTTAGTTGGCTTCCAAATGGTTAGAAAATTGTAACCAGTTTTCTTTGAGAATAAGGTTCATATTGCTCTTTCTCACGCACATTGTTAAATCTGTGCCAGAAGTGTGGGTTGTTATCTTCACAGCTGACACCAATCTGGGAAGTGAGCGAGGATAGGTGGGTAGTTTAAATGCCCAAAACTCTGTTACTGCAATGTGGCAGCTTCTGTTTTCATTAATCTTCCATTGTTTGTTTTAAACTTTTGGCTAGAATCCATAGTTAAACAAAAGCTAATTCTGACAGTTTTTGCCATCTTATTAGTTGTTTTTTGTTTTTTGTTTTGTTTTGTTTAAGACAGAGTCTTGTTCTGTTGCCCAGGCTGGAGTGCAGTGGTGCAATCTCCACTCACTGCAAACTCCGCCTCCCAGGTTCAAGTGATTCTCCTGCCTCAGCCTCCTGAGTAGCTGGGATTACAGGCACCGCACCACCATGGTGGCTACTTTTTGTATTTTTAGTAGAGACAGAGTTTCACCATGTTGGTCAGGCTGGACTCTAACTCCTGACCTCATGATCCACCTGCCTCGGCCTCGCAAAGTCCTGGGATTACAGGCATGAGCCACCATGCCCGGCCTTGTTAGTTGTTTTTATGGAGCTATGAAGAAATGGAATTCCTTACTTCATTTTTTTAATGGTGTGTTTTTTATACTTATATGTATATGTGTGTGTGTGTGTATATATTTACTTTATATATTGTCTTTGCCACTTGCAACCTTGCCAAACTCCTTTATGTCTACAAGCTTTATCGTAGAGTCTTTATGTTTTATGTATATAATAACATTGCCTGAAGTTTAAAATTGTTTTATTTTGTTTCTTTCTCATTTGTATCCCTATTATTTATTTTTTCCTGACCTTATGATTTTGGCTAGGACTCTCAGTTGAAGAGAAATGATGAGTATAAACATACAGGTCATTTTTTCAATGTTAGAGGAAAATTAATCTTTCATAATGTTAGCTGTTGTTAGCTGCAAGTTATTCATTAGACACCATCCTTGGTTAAGAAGTATCTTCTATAACTAGTCTTTTACAGTCCTTGTCATTAATGAGTATTGAATTATATTTACTGTCTTTTCTGCATCTATTAAGATGATGAATTGGTTTTTCCTTTTAGTCTGTTGATAAATGAAATAACATTGATTAGAATTAGTTTTGGATGTTGAATCAACATTGCATTTCCTGCATAAACTCCCCATGGTCACAATCTATTATATTTTTGTAACTTGATGGACTTGATTGGCTAACATTTTATTAAGAATGGTTGTGTGTCCATGAAGGTTATTGGACTCTTTTGTTTTTGTTTGTTTGTTTTGAGACAGGGTCTTGCTCTGTTCCCAGGCTGAAGTGCAGTGACACAATCATGGCTCACTGCAGCCTCAAACTCCCAGGCTCAAGTGATCCGCCCTGTAGGGAAAAGAAAGAGAGATCAGACTGTTACTGTGTCTATGTAGAAAGGGAAGACATAAGAAATTCCATTTTGACCTGTACCCTGAACAATTGCTTTGCCCTGAGATGCTGTTAATCTGTAACTTTGCCCTAACCTCTTTACCCTAGCCTCTTTGCCCCAACATTGAGCTCACTAAAACATGTGTTGTACGGAATAAAGGTTTAAGGGATCTAGGGCTGTGCAGGATGTGCCTTGTTAACAAAATGTTTGCAAGCAGTATGCTTGGTAAAAGTCATCGCCATTCTCTAGTCTCGATAAACCAGGGGCACAGTGCACTGCGGAAAGCCACAGGGACCTCTGCCCTGGAAAGCCAGGTATTGTCCAAAGTTTCTGCCCATGTGATAGTCTGAAATATGGCCTCGTGGGATGAGAAAGACCTGACCGTCCCCCAGCTCGACACCCATGAAGGGTCTGTGCTGAGGAGGATTAGTAAAAGAGGAAAGCCTCTTGTAGTTGAGATAGAGGAAGGCCACTGCCTCCTGCCTGCCCCTGGGAACTGAATGTCTCGGTATAAAACCCGATTGTACATTTGTTCAGTTCTGATATAGGAGAAAACCCACCCTATGGCAGGAGACGAGACATGTTGGCAGCAATGCTGCTTTGTTATTCTTTACTCCACTGAGATGTTTGGACGGAGAGAAACATAAATCTGGCCAACGTGTACATCCAGGCATAGTACCTCCCCTTGAACTTAATTGTGAAGCAGATTCCTTTGCTCACATGTTTTCTTGCTGACCTTCTCTCTATTATCACCCTGCTCTCCTACTGCATTCCTCCTGCTGAGATAGTGAAAATAATAATCAATAAAAACTGAGGGAACTCAGAGACCGGTGCTGAGGGAACAGAGGGCCGGTCTCCTGGGCCCACTGTTGTTTCTCTATAGTTTGTCTCTGTGTCTTATCTCTTTTCTCAGTCTCTCATCCCACCTGCTGAGATATACCCACAGGTGTGGAGGGGCAGGCCACCCCTTCACCCCCCATCTCAGCCTCCTGAGTAGCTGAAACTACAGGTGCACCCCACCACACTTGGCTAACTTTTTTGTATTTTTGTAGAGATGGGGTTTGCCATGTTGCCCAGGCTGGTCTTGAACTCCTGGGCTCAAGCATCTGCCTACTTTGGTCTCACAAAATGTTGGGATTACAGGTGTGAGCCGCTGTGGCCAGCCTCTTTTCTTATATATTTGGTTTTGTTATCAGGTAAATCTGGGTTCATAAAATAATAGTCAGTATTCTTTTCTATTTTCTGAAAGACTTGTGTAGAAGTAGCACTATATTATCTTTTTATATGTGGTAGAATTCATTAGTGGAGGCATCTGGACCTGGATTTTTCCACAAGGAAGATTTTTAACCATAAAATCAATTGCCGGCCGGGCGCGGTGGCTCACGCCTGTAATCCCAGCACTTTGGGAGGCCGAGGCGGGCGGATCACGAGGTCAGGAGATCGAGACCACGGTGAAACCCCGTCTCTACTAAAAATACAAAAAATTAGCCGGGCGCAGTGGCGGGCGCCTGTAGTCCCAGCTACTCGGGAGGCTGAGGCAGGAGAATGGCGTGAACCCGGAAGGCGGAGCTTGCAGTGAGCGGAGATCGCGCCACAGCACTCCCGCCTGGGCGACAGAACGAGACTCCGTCTCAAAAAAAAAAAAAAAAATCAATTGCCTTCATAGATAGGGAGTCAGGCTACCTATTTTCTCTTATGTGGGCTTTGGCAGCTTTTGATTTTTCAGGAATTTAACTATTTCACTCAAGTTCTTTGAATTTTTGGTATAAAGCTATTAAACTATTACCTTAGTGTTGTTTCTAATGTCTGCAGGATCTGTAGAGATGTGTTCTCTTTAATTGTATGTGTCTTTATTTGTGTTTTCTCTCTTTGTTTTGATCAGTCTGACTACGGATTTTTCAACGTTATTGATCTTTTCAAAGCTTGCTTTTGATTTCATTGAACTTCTCTACTATTTTTCTGTTTTTCTGCATCATTTTATATTTTATTTTGTTTCTTCTGCATCTTCTGTCTTTAGTTTTATCTTTTCAGTCTAGTTTCATAAGGTAAAACTCTGAGTCATTGATTTGAGACACTTCTAACAAAAGCGTTTAGTGCTTCACATTTTTCTCTAGGCTCTGTTTTTTGTTCAATTTGAAATATGTTTTCTAATTTTCTTTGTGATTTCCTTGACTTATTGATTAGTTAGAAGTATAGAGTTTAATTTTCATACATTTGGGGATTTTTCCAGAGGTTTTGGTTTATTCCTTATTTCTTATTTAATATCACTTCCTTATTTCTAATTTAATATCATTATGTTAAAAGAAAATATTTGTATAATTTCAATTTCAAATATGTTGACATTTGTAGTCTTCTATTGCTGAGTAGAATTTTATAAAAATGTCAATTAGGTTAATCTAGTTGATGGTGTTGTTCAGGTCGTCCATATTTGCTGACTTTCTTATCGTTTACTTGATCTATCAAATACTGAGAAAATTATGTTAACATCTTCACTAATAATGATGGGTTTGTCTATTCTTTCTGTATTTTTAGTGCTATTATTAAATTGTTAAAATTATTATATTGTCTTGAAAAATCAACTCCCTTATTATACAATATCCTATGTTAATTCTGGTAATATACCTTCTTATGGGAATTTATTAGAAATTATTATAGTCACTCCAGCTTTCTGACATAGTGTTGCATGGTAGATCTTCACTATCTTTTTACATTTAATCAATTTATTATTTTATATTAAAAATGAGTTCATTGATTGTAGAGAGCACACAGTTGGGTCTTTCTATTCAATTCTATATGTTGTTCTCTGCTTTTTAATCATTGTGTTTTAGATTATTTACCTTTACTGCTATTAGAGGATGAAGGTGTATTTAGGTGTACCATTTTGCTATTTGTTTTTTTTGTTGTTGTTGCTTTTGCTTTTGTTTTCTTTTTCTACACTTTTGCCTTTTTATTAATTAATTTTAATAATTTCATCTTATACCTAATATTGGCTTATTAGTTATACCTTTGTTTAAATGTGTTTACTAGTTGCTCTAAATTTTAAAACATAACTTATTTTTATTTTTATTTATTTTTTTTGAAACGCAGTTTTGGTCTTGTCACCCAAGCAGGAGTGCAATGGCGTGATCTCAGCTCACTGCAACCTCCGCCTCCCAAGTTCCAGCAGTTCTTCTGCCTCAGCCTCCTGATTAGCTGGGATTACAGGTGCCCACCACCATGCCAAGCTAATTTTTATATTTTTAGTAGAGACAGGGTTTCGCCATGTTGGCCAGGCTGGTCTCGAACTCCTGACTGCAGGTGATCCACCCACCTCGGACTCCCAAAGTTCTGGGATTACAGGCGCGGGCCACCGTGCCCAGCCTAAAACATAAATATTTAGTCTATCATAGTCCAATTTTAAATAATATTATAGTCCTTTACAAAACATGTAAAAATATTACAACGGTTCACTTCCATTTTTTTCCCTCTCATCTTTGTGCTATGGTTGTTGGCATTTATTTCTAAGTGTGTTATAAACTTCACAATACATTTACTTTTACTCCACAATACAGTTACTACTTTTACTTTATTCAGTCAGTTCTTATTTACAATTAATAAAAATAAATCTTTTTTGCCTTCATTATTTTTGCCATCTCTGGCACTCTTCATTTCTTTTGTAGGTTCAAATTTCCATTTGGTATCACATTTCTTCTTCCTGAAGAACTTTATTTAATATTTCTTGCAGTGTACTCACATGTGATAAAGTACGTCAGTTTTGTTTATCTGAAAAAGTATTCCATGCTTATATTTGAAAGAAATTCTCACTGTGTATAGATTTCTAGATGAGAGTTTTTTTCTTGTCAGCATTTTAAAGGTGCCCTCCTTTGTCTTATGCTGTGCCTCATTTCTGATGATAAATGGGTTGTAATTTTATCTTTGTATGTGTGTATAATATTTCTTTTTCTATACACATCTTCAAGATTTTATTTTGGTATCTGAGTTTTGGCAATTTGAATATGATTTTTTTCTCTATCCTGCTTAGGATTCTCTGAGCTTCTTGAATCTGGGATTTATTTCATTGATTTTGCAAAACTTTTAGCCATGATATCTGAAAATATTTCATTTGCCTTGTTACTCTGTCTTCTTCTTAGACTCAAATTAAACATCTGTTAGATTGTTTTATGTTGTTGTACAGCTTGTTCTATTTTTATCCACTCACTCTTCTCTTTTTATTCCAGTTGGGATAATTTCTGTTTCCATAACCTCATGTTCACTGACTCTTCCCTGTGTGATAGTCTTAACTCCATCAAAGAAATAATCTATTTTTATGTTGTTTTTTTTTGTTTCTAGCATTTCTATTTTACTTTAAGAAACAGTTTTATTGCTCTACTAAAATTTCTCATGTTCTCATGCACATTGCTTATGTTTTCTGCTATATCCTAATTATAGTTAGGGTAAAATTCCTGTTTGATAGATAGATCCAGTCTAGATCATTCCTGGTTCTGATTCTTTTGAATGCTTTCACTTAACAATGAGTAAGTATTTTCTTGCTGCTTTTGAAATATAATTTTTATTAAATGCTGGAAATTGTTGGTAAAAGAACAGTAGAGACTAGGCTATAGAGTATTTATACTTAAAAATGGGGTGCTGGTCCTTCTGTCAGACTATGTGTGTAAGTGGTTGAGGTGTTTTGGGTATTGTTACTATAATTACTTGCAGTGCTCCACAGATTTCAAATTCTTCTGACCATGAAGAATGATGCTTTGTTGAACCTAAATAGGAGATTTTAATCAGTGTTCCTGCTCTACCCAAATTTTACCAAGCGTAGCATTGCCTTTGTAATACAAGGTATCTCCATACTTTGGCTTCTTTCCCGGAAATAGGTGCTGTTGATTTTTTCTTGGTGCAAGGCTTGTGACAGGGGCAAAGATATCCTTGTTTTCCCTGATCCAGCCTCCATCCTAGTCAGCCCCTATAAACCTGAGACTTGGGAAGTGGTGTTCCTACCTCATCTCACCAGTCATGGCAGCCAGACTCTACTTTTTATTTGTGACTGGTCATGGGTGGGAGTTTCTGCCCTTATCCTAGTGGACTCCTAGTAGCAGGGCAGGATCCTAGCTTGAATGGATTTCTACCTCTTCCCTAAGAGCAAACTGCTTTTACTTCTACTTTTCCCTCAGTAGCAACTCACTTTTGTCTGGACAAGTGGCAAGAAGGCTTTCTGACCTTTCTCCAGAGGTAAACAAATGTTGATTTTGTTTGCAAGGCTTATGGTAGGAGCTGAGAGATTTCCCATCCTCCTTCAGGGAAGAAAACATTTTGCTTCTATCTTGGTTCTTTAAAGATAATTTTATTTCTTTCTCTGAATACTTTAAAAAGAAAAATTGTGGTTGAGCGCGTCGGCTCACCCCTGTAATCCCAGCACTTTGGGAGGCTGAGGTGGGTGGATTGCCTGAGGTCAGGAGTTCGAGACCAGTCTGGCCAACATGGTGAAATCCCGTCTCTACTAAAAATACAAAAAAGTTAGCCAGGTGTGGTGGCATGCGCCTGTAATCCCAGCTACTTGGGAGGCTGAGGCAGGGGAATTACTTGAACCAGGGAGATGGAGGTTACAGTTAGCTGAGACTGCGCCACCGTACTCTAGCCTGGGCGGCAGAGTGAGACTCCGTCGCACCAACCCCACAAAAAAATTAAAAAATAAATTATAAATAAATAAAAGAAAAAGAAAAATTGTGTTACCTTTGGTTTGCAGCAGTTTTACTCTGATATACCTAGGTATGTTTCTATTGTATTTTTCCCGTTTGAGATTTGTAACACTTTATGCATCTGTGTTTTGATGACTGTATTAAATTTTTGAAAATGTTTTGCCATTATGTCTTACAAATTTCTTTTTCCCATTATCTTTCTTCTTTCAGTTAGAGTCTGCAATTACAAGTAGGTTAGACCTTTTCATTATGATCCAAATGTTAAACCTTTTTAGCGTATCCCATAAATCACTAATGCTGTTTTAAATTTTTCTTCTTTTTTTATTTCTCCCCTGAATCAGGTTATTTTCTACTGACTTATCTTCTACTTCACAAATCCCCTGCAGTTCTCTCTAGTCTGCTATTGAGACTGTTAATTTTATTTTAAAAAATTAAATTTAAAAACACCATTTGATTCCTTTTAGTAGACTCCAGATTTTTGATAATATTCTCCAACATGGTTTCTCTTTTCTTAAACATGTTAATATGTTAATCAGTTATTTTATAGTTATGTCTGATTGTGTCAATGTCTATATTTCTTTGGAATTGTTTTTACCATGAATCATAAAACTGAAAAATGCCTTAAAACCAATGTTACTGAGTCTAACAGTGGTCAAGAGACTAAGAAAATGGGCAGAACTTATGGTAGACTCAAAGAACTGAGAAAGCAACAGCTACCTTTCTGGGCTCATTAAGGAACAGATCTTTTCTAAACATCTATATGGTCAGCTGGGATTTCTAAAGTATTCTTCTCTGGGAGTAAGAAGAAATTACAAAAATAAAAATGCTTCATAAAGAAGCTCATAGATAATTGCCTGATAGAAGTCAAATAAATCCTCTCTTGAGGAGGATAACATTATGTAGAGCCTCAAATTACTCCTTCAGTTTTCCAAACACAGTGTCCAACACTCAATCAAAAATTACCTGTCATGAAAGATGAGATTCAAACACTGAAAAAGAGATTTTATTTATGTTTTTTTTTTTTTTTTTTTTGCTTAGGAAGCTCTTTAATTTTTCATGGCAGGTAATCTTTGCATAATTCTACATGGCTTCTAAAATCAATATTTTGAATGTGGAGACAATAGGATTTGCTTATTATGGATTGAATATGTAATGAGGAAAATGGAGGAAACAAGAGTATAAAAATTATGATGCCATATATTAAGATAAGAAAGAGGAATATTTTGGTGAGGGGAGTAAAAGTAGAGACTTGCTTGCATATGTGAAAATCTAAATAGAGTTATCAAGTAGGCAGTTGGATACTGGAGCAGCGCTGGATGTGTATAATTTGGGAGTCCTTAGTGTTTACTGATATTATAAAATTAGATGAGATCAACTTGGGTATTAGTGTACTTGGATTTGAGATTGTATTTGAATCCTTAATCATCT
Organism: Homo sapiens; assembly: GCF_000001405.40. Taxonomy (NCBI): domain Eukaryota; kingdom Metazoa; phylum Chordata; class Mammalia; order Primates; family Hominidae; genus Homo; species Homo sapiens. The sequence continues at coordinate 534,215 of NW_018654714.1, read as the reverse complement.
AATATATAGACATCTAGAAGAGAATGTGGCTTCTGCACAGGAGTCTGAGAACTTTCTGATGAGGTAACAGGAATTCAAGGAGAATGTGGGATCCACTGTGTCATATGCTGCTAGAGAGGCCGAGTGAGATGAGGACTGAAATTGACCATTGGTTTTAGCAACATGAAAAATTCTAGTGATTTATACACTAGCTATTTTGGACGAATGGTGGGATCAAAATCTTAGTTTAGACTGAGTGTTGCAGGAATCAGGAGGACAAGAGAGACCACGGGGTGAATACCAGAGGATCCTTATTGAGTGCACGCAGACCCAGCAGACTTAACATCCAAAAACTGGGCCAAGAACAAAGACAGCACTTGACTTACATACACACCTTTGAAAGGGAGTGGGCTAGCTTGAAACAAGCGTACAGTAGCATGAAGCGTAAAGGCATGAAAGCAAGGATACAGAGGCAGAACAAAGGCAGTTAATCAAATTGTGACAGGTGCATAACCCAGAATTACACATGACCCTTGATGCACAGCCCAGATGGCTGTTATCTAGGCTTTGCTCTAGCATCTTGCATGGGCTTATCTCATAACCTTCGCTATGACACCCAGGTGGCTGTTGCTCAGGCCTGCTCAAACAGCTCATGACCTTCACTGTACTGCTTAGATAAAACAGAAAATTTGAAGTTACTAGTTGCAGAGAACAGAAATCTATAAACTCATACCATAAGAGAAAAGAAAATTTGTTTTTCTCCTTCCTATGTTGAGGGAGTGCTGGGAGAGTCTCCAGAGCACATTCCTTTGTGTCCTAGTTTCTCAGATAGTGTTTATTGAGGCTTTTCCTGGGTCTGGGCCATGTCTGTTGCTGCCTCTGGGATAAGTCAGCTGAATACAGGAAAGTTTGTTTCTTTTTCTTTTTAATTTTATTTTTTCTTCTTTAATTTCCACCTCATGGGCAGTGATTGAAGGGGAGAACATGGGAATGAAAGGTGCAGTTAGTTCCTTCAGGGAATCTCTATGTAAAGGAGCATAGTGAAATGGGACCATGTCTGTAAGGTGATACATAATGTGATCTATTTTTTTAAATCTAAAAATGATTTATTCTCAAGTGGTAGGTGTGATGTGGTCTTAAGGAGGTTCATTTTTCCTTCAGATGGCAAAGGCATATGAAATTTGTGCTTATGGAAATGATGCAGGAGAAAATGAAAAATTTATGATTTAAATAATTCAGGTAAAAATACATTCAGGTTTTGTGGGGTATGAAACAGATAATTTACGAGGTACCCTTTAGGGAAAGGAACATAAAATAATAAACAAAGATTGTATGAAAATAAACATTTATTTAGAGTGTAAAATGATGGATAACTAAGTTTTATAAGGTAGAAAATACCTTAAACATCAAAAGTTTATAAAAATAAAATATTTTTATCTATTAGATGTCTGACACAACTCTCTAAATCTCTGCTCCCTATGTTTTGGCTACCTATTATTTGATCACATTTTCATGACAATAACTTTGTAATATCACTTTCGGGTTGATTTTGGAATCACAGGAGGTGAGTAATTTGCTCAGATGTGTAAGCCAAATGGAGATAAAAACCAAGACGAAGAAAGACCACCTGTAAAGTATGAACTTCCTGCTGAGTTCAAATAAACAGGGTTGTGATGCAGGAAGAAATTGTTTAGGATGGCCTCCTAGAGGGAAGTGCTTAATCAGACCTAATTAAAACTTACTTGTTGATGCTGGGCTCCATCCAAGTCCTCATCCCCTGTGGGTGGCAGCTTCATTTTTAAGTTATCACTTTGGCTTTTATTTCTTTCCTTTCAACAGAGAGAAATGTACAGCTTTTTATTTTTCCATAAAAGAAGTTTATTTGGAAAAGTCAGCCTCTTACACAAGGTTTTGTATCTAATATGTTCATTCTGTCAATTAAATGCATTGAATATAAGAAATATTTAGTTTTTGTTTTGGTCCACCCCCTCTTTTATCCTGATGTAGAATCTACTTCTACTTCTCTACTTTTCAGGTCAGTGAAATGGGTCACATAATTTTTAGCTTTGTGTGGAGAGTAAGTATGTGTCCAATAATTCTAAGTATACCATGATTTTCTTTAAGGCCTTCTCAGAAAAAAGAAAAAAAAATAGTCATTAAAACTAGGCACACTTAGCAATTTCTCTCATAACCTTATCCTTATCTGCTTGCTTGGTGCCACATTTTTCTGGCCCTCTTTAATTTGCAAAGATTCAAACTAAAAGTGAAAGTAAGCAAAACAAAACAAGAAAAACCCCACCAAACACACAGAGAGTATATCTCACACACAGCACTAAGCTAGAATCAGATATAAATGAGACCTCTGTGAATCAAAGGAGAAAACTTTCACAAAAAAGATCCAATAGTCTCATGATTTAACCAAGGCTTTGGGAAAACCTAAACTGAATTCAACTGATGTTTGAAATATGTCTACATTTAATTGGATGTGCTGTATTTACTAAGAAGTCACAAATACATAGTTTTGAAATTTTTAATACTAACCTTTACAGTGAGAAAAATAATACCAAGTGATTTGAGCAGGGGCAATAATTTATAACCATTCAAAATCTGTCTTTAAACAGGGGAGCAAAGTAGTATTTTAATAAAAACAACCCTTAAGTACTTATTTGACTTCTAATAAGTATCCCAAGAAATGGTACCCAAGAAGTGTCGACAAGTACAATCTGGCTAGAACAGCCAAGATGCTTCCAAAGTTTTATGCTTCAAATTTCCTAAATATATAGATAGCAGAACCATATGCCAGAAAAACTACTGATGCTGGAAAAACATATTCATCAGCATTTTATAAAATCTCCAACTTTCAACCAACGTTTCTATTCATAAATCTTCCAGTGACCATATCTGACAATACATTACAAATGCCAAAGAAGCAAGATTACTTTTAAATTTTAAATTCATCTCAAGTTAGTTATGGTTTTTCTTTTTAACACAACACTCAAAATACATGAATTCAGCAGAATTATTTTAAAAGTTCTCTGAAGATTTCTAAAGACTAAACTGTAAGGCACATGTTAAAATCTTCATGACACTGTTAAAAGCTAAGATTAAAACAAAACCTACTTCCTTCCCTCATCCTTTACCATCAACCACCCCCTCCCCAAAGCATATGGCATTTTAAATTTAAGCTATTGGTAAGGAGTGAAACAAAAATTCCATCAATGAACACCTGGTATGGTTTCCACACAAATGTCTGTTATCTGCATTGAGCACCACTGGTAGATCCCAGGCCAGGAGAATATTTTCAGATATCTTGGGTCATGAACTGCTCCATTTACCCTTTAGCTGAATGGGTACAGCCTGGACTCTCCTCTTCACTGGGGCCATCTTCTGTACCTTTCTAGTTAGGGGAGTCCTCTTCTTTAGTAACTACTTTGGACTTCTCAGTAACATCTATGCTGTTCTTCTCTTTTTACTTTCCTTTTCCTGTTTCTCTTCTGCTTTCTATTCTTTTACCAAAAGTTGATAATTGATACCTATCACCTAACAATGAAGAGCTAGACACCTGCAATAATTAAGATTATGCCATATGCCCATATGTCTATTTGTAATTTCAATAAGTCATTGAGATTACCTAAAAATGGTGGCCCCAGGGGGACACAGCAGCATCCCACACAGCAGCATCCCACAATGGTAAACCAAACCCACAGTGCTGGAGGACCTCTGGGTCCAATGAGGTCCATCAGTATTTCAAACAATATGGAACTGAGCCACTAAGGTAAATCCAAAGAATCCCACAGAGACACAGAACTCAATATAGCTGGTGGATAAAGGTGCTAGCAAATGGCACATTCCGTTCATGATAATGGAAGCAGCAAAGAAATACTGAACTTGAGAACTTGAGGCCTTATCTGCTTTGTGTTGGCTGCAAGTCCCATAGAAGGCCTTGCTGTGTGTCAACAAAAGCCAGAAGGGAAAGAAGGAAGGCAGACTTCTCCTGGAGTGATACTGACTCTTGCCATCATTACTGAGAAAGGCCAAAGGTGTAAAGAGTCCAGAAAAATGTGAGCACATTTCCAGAGAGGTACAGCAAAAAAAATCTCTCTGAGTAAACAGGGATGAGTACAAGAATGTATTAATTGTTTGGAAGATTAATCATTTCCCTTCTTTTGGGTGTCCTCCAATAAGATCTGTATTGTATCACCTGCACCTTTTTTGCATCTGATTTTTCAGCTTCCTGAAGGAATTCTTTAGACCTCTTTCCCTGCCTTTGTTGGCTTGGACCTTATTGGTCACATCGGGTCTCCAGCTACGCAGCAGTTTAGCAGGGAAGCCCCCAAGAATTAGGAAGCTTCCTCTCCATCCGTAGATACCAAAGAAAGCCTTACTGAGGAGGCCAGCATAGAGAGGCTGCCTGCCATGGCCAGTCTGTTGGCCAATGGTCACTTCCTATAGAAATGCTTGCCAATCATGGTCAGAGCTAGGTTCAAGTTAAAGGAAAGCCCAAGACCTCCAATGATTCCTATACACAAGTAAAGTTCCTGTATAATGCTACAGAAAGAAGCCACAATCAAGCTACAGCCTGACAAGCAACACCAACAATCATGACTGAACAACTGCCAAATTATTCACCAGGATACTGCTGATGAGACCTCCACCATACATGACAGGCAGCATGATGGAGCATATCTGTGACACTTTGCTGGTGGTGGCATGGAGTATACCTTCCATCTCTTTGAAGAAGACAGTAATATATTTGAGAAATGCTAAGAGAAGTTGATGGAAATGAAAGCTTCCACTACGACTGCCCACCCCCAACATCTGTCTGAAGGGGTGTATCCAACTGAACTTCCAACTGCTGGTGGCATTTTAAGTGTAGAAAAATTCCAGCTTGCAGCACTGAGCATAGGAGTGAGGCAGTGGCAGGGGCTGGAGTTCTGCAGAGCCCAGAGTGACGCTCACATCCTTCTCTTGCTGCCTCATTGGCTGGTTCAAGTACCCACGTGGCCAGTTAGTCAAGTCGCAGCTTGCCACTTTTTCTGGTTGAGCTGGAGTGGCTGCCTTGTCAATTTGCAGTCTTTTTAAAAACGCAATTATCTACTCAAAAGGCTTTAGTTTGCTACCTATCCTATCACAACTTAACTTTCATGCCTCCCAGCATTTTATTTTAAGCCATCCTAAGTTGTTCCTACCATTTTTTTTTTTGAGACGGATTATTGCTCTGTCTCCCAAGCTGGAGTGCAATGGCGTAATCTCGTCTTACTGCAATCTCTGCCTCCAGGGTTCAAGTGATTCTCCTGCCTCAGCCTCCCAAGTAGCTGGAATTACAGGCAACTGCCACCGCGCCCAGCTAATTTTTAGTGGAGACGGGGTTTCACCATGTTTGCCAGGCTCATCTCAAACTCCTGATCTCAGTTGATCCACCCACCTCGGCCTCCCAAAGTGCTGGGATTATAGGTGTGAGCCACCGCATCTGGCCTACATTTTTGTTAGAGTTTTTACAGTCTTCATGAAGGGTATATGGGTAATAATTTTATTGAACTTTTGCATATGGAATTGTATATATCTATAGCCTTTAAAAATGAATGATGGCTTAACTAGGTATGCAACTTTTATTTAACAATATGTTCACTCAGGATTCTATAGAAAGATGTTATTGTCCCTGTCATCTAATATTTCAAAGACCGATTCTAGCTGTCATAGGCTGAATTCCAACCTGGCCCGCAAGAGTCTCACTTCTTGGTGTACATGTCCTGTACAATACTCTCCCCTTCAATATGAGCAGGACTTGTGACATATGATGGGATTTCACCCCTGTGATAATGTTACACTACATGGAAAAACAGAATTCGAAGATGTAATTAATCAGCTGAATTGGATTTACACAAAAGGGAGATTATCCTGAGTGAGCCTGACCTAATCAGGTGAGAACTTCAAAAGTGTCCAGACTTTCTTAGCCATCAGAGAGATTTGACACAATAGAGATTCTCCTGTCATTCTTGACGAAGCAAGCTGCCATGTCGTGAGAGGAGTGGGCCATGGGTTAAGGACTTGAGGGTGGCCTCCAGGAGCTTAGAGGAGCCACCAGCCAGCAACAAACAAGATAATGGGTACCTCAGTCACACACATGCAAGAAAATGAATTCTTCCAATGACTGGTGAGTTTGAGAGAGGACTCTGAGTCCCAGATGAGATCACAACCCCAGCTGATACCTTGATTTGAGCCTTGTGAGACCCTGAGTTCAGAACTTGGCTATGCTTCTCACCAGCAGGAATGTTAAGATAAAAAATTTGTGTTCTTTTAAACTTATAAATTTATTACAATTTGTTACACAGCACTAGAAAATTAATGCACTTGCTTAACATTTTTCTAAGTGACTTTTCTGTTTTGTTTGTTTTCTGAATCTTTATTATCCTTTCATTATACTTGAAATTCAGTCATTTTTACCAATATATCCATAAATACTTTTACTTTTCTTTAATTTTCAGGTACATGGCAAGGCTCTTTCATCTAAATAACAAATTCTTCCTTTATTTAAATGACATTTTTATAAATTATAGTTAAACGTAAAAAATATTTTTATTCAGTCTTTTCATCAGAAATACTAATTATCCATATGTTGTTTCTTTTTTGTCTGTATCAGTTATCTTCTTTTGGATTCCAAACAACAGATTAACTTTTCTATATTATTAATTTTTGCTGTTTACTGCTTTAATGTCCTTTTAAAATCTGAAATAGTTTGTGTGTGTGTGTGTGTGTCCCTACTTTACCTGGAATCCTTAGCTCCTTTTGTATCTCATTCTGCTGTCCTATCACCTCGTCTTTCATTGACCTGATGTGTTTAATTTTCTTGCAAGTACTATGGTCACAAATTATTAGATCTATCAACATTTATTCTCCTCTTCCTTCTTAATATCAGAAGCTCTGATTGTGTTTTAGGCACATGATTACTAACAGTAACACTTATCACCTTTGAGTATGTATGTGGCCAAGTAACTAAGTTTAACTTTGCCAGCAGAATTTGTGCAACAATTTTTTTTGTGTGAGTTTTTTAAAAGGTCTCTAAAGGAAGTGGGTATGCTCCTTCCTCTCTTCTTTATTTTTATGTATTTATTTATTTTTTGAGACAGGGTCTCACTCTGTCACCCAGGCTGGAGTACAGTGGCATGATCTCAGCTGACTGCAACCTCTGCCTCCCGGGTTCAAGCAATTCTCCCACCTCAACCTTCCAAGTAGCTGGGACTACAGGCATGCACCACCATGCCCGGCTAATTTTTGTATTTTTAGTAGAGACAGGGTTTCACCATGTTGGCCAGGTTGGTCTGAAACTCCTGGTCTCAAGTGATTTTTCCCGCCGCCTTGGCCTTCCAAAGTGCTGGGATTACAGGCATGAGCCACCCCACCTGGCCTCTTCTTTATTTTTGATGGACAGCATGTGAATGTGTTGGCTGAAATTCAAGCCATTTCTTGAACTATGAGGTAGAAGTTATATGCCTAGAATAGTGCATTAGAAACAGAAGAAGCCTCAATTCCTATAACTTTAAGTTAGGCAGGCTTACCTTGCCTAAATCTAAATTAATGTCTATTTTATTTAAACCATGATTTCTCAATATTTTCTGCCTCTCACAATCTGACTGTACTGAAATAAATGCATTAATAAGTGTTTATTAATAAGTGTGGCATATCCTTATGTTTGTTTCATGAGGAAATTATTCCCATTAAAAGTGGCTTCCATTCGGGAAGCTAGGTACAATTTTCTTATCTAACAAAAAAGAAAACTAAGGCATATATTATTGAAATAACTTGCCAGAGAGCACAGGCAGTGAGAGACAGAACAAGGATCAGGAGTCAGGTCTGCTTGATAATGGGGACCATTCCTTTATGCACTGACAAACTGATAAAACCAAAAGTGGGCAGGTGAAGCCCCCAAGTCACTGGATATCTGAGAGAAGATGTCTACAAAGAAGCCATATTATCGATCCCTAACATGTATATCTTCAGATATTGGCCTATATAAAACAAATTAAGCATTTGGAGGAACACTTGGTTCAAATGCAAGGATTTGACCGTAATAGTCTTCTTTTAGTGTAAGTGTGGGAGTCCTGTCTACAATTATCTTATCTCCTTTTTGGTTTTGATGATAGATAACAAGAGGTTCTTAGAGTCTTGACCCTTTATCTGCATCTTTCTAAAACTTTCCGGACAGCAGCCGTAACTTCCTTATTCCTCAAGCTGTAGATCAAGGGGTTCAACATGGGTGACACCACTCCATAGAAGAGAGCAATCATCTTCTCTTCCTCTGCTGAGGAGGCCAACTGTGGCCCCAGGTAGGTGCAGATGGTAGCCCCAAAGCACATGCAAACCACAATGAGGTGAGAGGCACAGGTCCCAAAGGCTTTGCAGCGTACCTGGGTAGAACGAATGCACAAAATGGTGGCAACTATGCAAGCATAGGAGAATAGAACCAGGGAACAGGGAAGCAAGATCACCAGAAACCCTGAGATGGCCACCATGACCTTGTTGAAGGGGACATCCACACAGGCTAGCTGTAGCACTGCTAAGGTCTCACAGACAAAGTGATTGATAACACCGTGACACAGGAAGCTGGAAGGTGATAATTGTTTCCATCAGGGAATTTGAGAAGCCAGCCACCAGGCGGCTGGCCGCCAGCCCCAGGCACAGCCCTCCATGCATGATGACCGTGTAGTGCAGTGGGTGGCACACGGCCACGTAGCGGTCATAGGCCATGGCCCCCAGCAGGAAGAACTCAGACCCACACAATGCCAGAGAAACATAGAGCTGGAGCACACAACTGTAGAATGGGATGGACTTTCGGGCTGAGAGCAAGTGGGACAGCATTTGTGGGACAATACTCTTTGTATAACAAAAGTCCACAAATGACAGAACACTAAGGGAGAAGTACATGGGGGTATGAAGCCTGTTGTCCAGTCTGATCAGAAGAAGAATGAGGGTGTTTCCTAAAATAGTCACCAAATACATGGCCAGGATCAGGGCGAAGAGGGATACCTGAATGCCCCAATCACTGGAAATCCCCAGCAGAATGAACTCACTCACCCATGTCTGGTTTTTATTTTCCTGACCCATGAGCTTCCAAGGACCACACTAAAGATGTAGAAATAACCAGTCATGGAAATGAAGGATTAGAAGATGATTCGTAGGGCATATGGAGAACCCACCCATCTGAACATAAAGTCCACCTAGAATGTCTCAGCCAAATCACCATCCAAACTCTGCTTGAACAATGCATCCAGGCATGAGGACCACAGTGGGACCCAGCTGTGCAGGGAAATCAAGGAAAAAAGAAGTTACATTCTTAAAATTCAGTTTATTGGAATATAATTTCTTCTCCCAAACATCTGCTCTTAAATAGGGGAAGGAAATTAATGCAGTATTTAGACTTAAAGTCTTATTCAGTTTAGTAGTTTTTACAGAAGAAATGAGAAAGTTTTTTTATCCATATGAAATATATGTCTGAGTTCTGACTGCTGTTCACCACCATCTAACTTCTTTTTGTTTATTGGGTTTTTCCTCTGGACATCTCAGACACAACTCTACTCACCTCTCCTCAGTGGAATGCATCCATGAGATCTTGAACATTTTGAATAGTCTTCATAGACATTTTATAACTGAACAATTTTGAGTTTGTTTTCTGTAATTTGCCCTTTTGCCTTTAGAGTGTCAAGTGGAAATGCTTCCTCCCTGCCTATCTCATGCAAGGGGCCCAGTAAGCCAAGACCAACACAAGGTGGCCAACTTCCAGGGATCAGGTGTTGCACGAAGATAAGATATACAAAATTGCTAAAATTAATCTCTTATCCCCCACAAGGTGAACTTAATGAAGTGGTTAGTGACGTCAGATTATTACTCAATATTGATGTTTTCTCAGGGATAGGATAGTTTATTCATTTCTTGTAGAAAATGGATCAGTTCTCACCAGTGAAGATAGAAAGATAGAAGATAAGGCTTTAATTCTAGAACATAGTGACATAGGTAGTAGTTTTTTTTTTTTTTTTAAAAAACTACTTTTTTGAGCTTCTGCACAGCAAAGGAAACAATCAATGAAATGAAAAGGCAACCTACAGAATGGGATAAAGTATTTTCAGACCATGTATCTGGTAAGGGATTAATATTCAAAATATACAGGAAATTCCCACAGCTCAGCCCAAAAAAGGTTAAAAATGGGCAAAGGAACTAAATAGATATTTTTCCAAGGAAGACATACAAATGGCCAACAGGTATATGAAAAAATGTTAAGCATCACTAATTACCAGAGAAATGCTAAGAAAAATCACAAGAAGATATCACCTCACATTAGTAGTAGTTCTTTGAACACCAAATCAAAACTTTTTAAATATTTGCTTAGTTACTGAAGGAAGTGATTCATAACCAAAGAATTTAGACAGGGTATGAGGTCTTGGAGAGAATCTTGCAAAAGTACATAAAGGATTTACACCAAAATTTGGTTGGCATTCCAATGGCTCTACCCTAGTCATGATGTAACCATAAGGGACAGCATACCACAGTTGAATTTATTGAAAGGTTCTAGTCTCAGCCTAAAAACTATTGAAATGACTGTCAGAGATCACATGACTTATAACACAGGGGATACGGGTACTTTAAAGTTCATTATTATGCAGACAGCAATATTCAGATGGTTGCTCATAAAATATTCAGGATTTAGTATTGTTTGTTTAATAGGGTCCGAGACACCAAGGAATTTATTAAAAACATAGAGCTTTCAGAAACTGGGTGTCAAATAAAAATTCGTGAAAATGATCACTTAACATGAGGCACCACATTCAATACCTTGCACTGAGAGTTTTCAGTCATCCATCCCAAAATCATCAGACAATTAATGCTCAGCTATAAGACTGGGGAAAAAAATGCACAATGCTTAAAGGTGTAAGGTTGTTCATGGTGTGAAAAGATAAAAGGATTCAAAATATCACAAATAGGTAATTTATAATTAAGAGCAATATTTTGCTCGAATGTTCAGAGTTAACAGATTTTAATCCCCATAACTAAAAATAATAACATTGTTAATTATTTTGTTTCCTTTCTTGTAATTTTCTGTTGTGCTATATCTATTTGTACATCAATTTCTTTTTGTTCTGCCCCATTTTATACTAGCATAAAAAGTATTTGTTCTAGAGACATATGAGTCAGGAAATTTCCTAGTCATGAAAGGCCTGATACAAATATGCACTGGTGATGTTTACAATGTCCATCTATCCTGGTGTAAATGTACTTGTGGTACCCGAATGCTTTTTAGAGATTTACCAACAGCTGAAGAGACTATATTACATAATACCACTAAGTGTAAGACCCATCCGTTCTTCCTCTTCCTACTACTTTGTTCCCAACCTAGGGCTTCCTACACTGTAGTTCTCAGAATACAGTTCAGATTGAGGGGGGTTGCTAGGTTCATTTTGACAGGCAATGGAGTTTTCTAAAAAATTCATTATAAGTACCTTCTCTGGGGGTGTTATTTTAAATCTGAAGATTTGAACTATATTTCCTCCATATGGGAGCGTTTGCTTTTTTCCTTCATTTTCTCCTTCCCACCTAACATCATGATGGCTGCAGATATCTGCAAATCTTCAGGTTTAGAAGGGAATTATAACTCTCTATCATCTATCTATCTATCTATCTATCTATCTATCTATCTATCTATCTATCTATCTATCCACACACACACTTATATATATTACACACACATACACACTCTCCAATTGCTTATTGCTGACAGTATGAATACTGAAGGAAGTACTAGTTGTTTATGTTTACTATTTTGTTATAGGATTTAAACAAATGAACTAAACAACTATGTATATCACAAATAAAACTTAAAACATACCAAAATGGGATGCAGAATTTCTCGGAAATGTTTCTATGGTGACCTGCTCTTTAAAGGAATACCAGTGATTTGTCCTACATCGTATGCAAGACTTACTTCAAATACCCTTTCTTTAGTGCTGCCTACCAAGAGCTCAAACGCAACTGTGATGCAGCAAGTTTTCCAGATACTATCATTGGGGATGACGTGCACACAGGTGGCATCCATGTGGAAATTATGGTTAAGGTTGGATTCGTTTATACTTGACACTTCTATAACAAAGGCTTAAAGAAAAAAAGTGAACAAACATTGAACAAACAAAATGTATTTTTCTACCTTTCTCCAAAAACCTATGCAAAAGGAGAGTATTTATACTTCAAGCCATGTTGTTTTTGCTCAGAAACAATGTAGTCGATTTGGGTTTTTTCCCCACAAAAAATATATTTGATATTTTTTAAGGTGACAGGCATTAAAGTCAAAGCAAAACCAGTTTCTTCGTAAAATCGTTTCAAATAACTTACCCAACTCAATTGCCCAGTAAATCATTGAATGATTGGATTTGGTTTCAGAAAATTTTCTTCAATTTGTCTACTATTTTTGTGGAAAGTGGTGGGAAGAAAACAAGCAAGCTCCTGAAGCACTCTTGGCTAGGCAAAGTCCAAAGTTCATGGGGTGGAAAGAATATTAGGAGAATAATTAAGTTGTGAGTGCATTGATCTCTATATGACATTGGGATAACCTTATACTTACTGTTTTCTGAGAACATACTCTGTGCCAGTCATTATGCTAAATATACATCTATTCACATAATATAATATAGTGTAATCACAACATCATTTCAAACTTTTGCTTGTTGTCTATATTTTACAGGTGAGAAAAGGAGGTGATATGCCTAGAAAGTGGGAGTCAGTAGGAAACCAAGGATTATCTGTGAATCTGGTGTGCATCCATTGTGCCACTCCTATCTATAGCATGGCCTTGTGTCATGCACAATGATAGTCACTGTTTAGAGCAGGGTGTCCAATCTTTTTGCTTCCCTGGGCCTCAAAGGAAGAAGAATTGTCTTGGGCCACACATAAAATACACTAACAATGATGATAGCTGATGAGCTAAAAAGAAAATTGCAAAGATGATCTCATAATATTTTATGAAAGTTTATGAATTTGTGTTGGGCCACATTCAAAGCCATCCATGTAGCCCATGGACCATGGGTTGGATAAGCCTGGTTTAAAGGCCAAGGAGTAAATGAATGTAAAAATCAGATGAATCAAGAGGACTAATTGAGTTTCTACTTTTGATCTCATTCAGTTCAGAGACTGACTATTCCAAGAGTCACAGTGCACCGGAGTACGCTTATCCCCACTTGCCCATGAAGGTGACATTTGGCTTTCTAGCCTCATGGGGAACAGGTCAAAGAGGAGAAACACCAGCATCTTCCTCATTTAGGGATTCTTTTTGTTGTATATGATTAACTAGCCTCTTTTACACATTTGAAAAGGTAATCATGCTTTATGTCTGATACAGTAATGAGCACAACAGCTTACAGTGGGTACATGTTGGAGAGACTGTTTTTCCCCTCTAATAAAAATTAAAGAGCTCTGATTATGGAAAATAATGGGAATACGATGGAGCTGTTTGTCAAATAATACAAAATTTCAATTAGGCAGGAGGAATACATTCAAGAGCTCTATTATACATCATGGTGACTATAATTAATAACAATACATGATATAATTGAAAATTGCTAACAGAGTAGATTTTAAGTATTCTCACCACAAAAGAATAATAAGCACGTGAGGCAATTCATATGTTAATTAGCTTGGCTTATCCATTCCACAATGTATACAGGTATCAAAACATGTACACCATAAATACATCATGTTGTACACATAAATGTATACAATTTTAACTTGTTAATTACAAATGAGCTAATATCAGAAGTAGATAAAGGTGAGTACTTATATTTAAAAATTAGCCTTCAGAAGAAAATTTGAACTTCAGCATAGTTTTGTGTAGGTAAAACAAGAAAAAGTTGAAGACTGATAAGAGATCCTGTACTGAAGAGATGAGTCTTACCCAGTTGGAAAGATTTGTTCCTTCTTAGCTGTTTCCCATCGGGAACTTAGAATCTATTCTTTGTAGTGGTGAGAGCTTATAGATCATGCCAACATATCTCCCACTATTTGTGTAGTTACAGTCACACTAGAATAAAAAGGGGGCTGTGTTTCCAGGTTACTTGCTAATCATGCCAAAGGCAGAGGTATAATGCTGAGTGGCCACATGGTTACCTCAAAATCCCTGTAGAGGGAGGAAAGAACCAGGGGTTCTTTGCATAATCACAAGAATGCTCTCCATGTCGCCCCCTTTGGATTCCACATACAGACACACTCACATGCTCAAGCTTTCCACACATTACTTTTCATGCCTCCTTGCCTGTACACATACAAACATGGAACCTCAATACTGTGAATGAACTAAATGTCTCTGAGTTGTACACTTTAATGTTGTTAATTTTATGTTGTGTAAATTTCATCTCAATTTAAAAAAATCTTCATGTACTGTGATATATATATATATATACATTAAAAGCCTTTCTCAAAAAAATTATCCCAAATTTAAATAAATAAATAAATAAATAGATGGATAAATACCTGAGAGAGAAAATTATACAAAATGAGAAAATGGGGAAAGGGAAGTGGATACTGAAATGTAAATAAGAATCAATAAATGAAGAAACTTATTGTAAGCTATCTATGGGAGAAAGTGAAAAGTCTAACTCTTCTCTAAGAAAGAATTAATGGTCATAAAGGAAAAAGGACCTGGTGCTCACTCCTTAGGAAGCTTAGCCCCATCCTAAAGGTTGAGAACCCTTAAATCACTTGAAAAGTTCTGGCTTCCTAATTTGAATACCCAGAACACATTTTCTTAGGACAGATTTCCACTGGTTGACAACTTTATCAAGCCACCATACCCTCAGGCCTGAAGACTATGGGAGAAGGCCAGGGATTACAGAAACCTGGTTTCATCATTTGTGTTGACAATTAAATGTTGAAGAATCAAGGAAAATTCCTGACTCACCTGTGGAGAGTGAAGAACGCCATCCTGTACCTTGGAAGGATGGCAGGGCTGGGAAAGTCGTGGAATTTGAAGAAAGTGCAGTTGGAACAGATAACTTTCTCTAACTTTAGGGATGAAATCTCAGGCGGCCAATTATATTTTGTTTATTTGACTTCTTTTATTTTCCCTCCCCCTCTGTATGGTCATGTATGCACCTAATATCCTAACCTACATTCAACTTTGCAAATACAAGTTTTATCTCCTTGTCCCTGGAGCATGGGAAGGGGCTCACCAAACTTTAATTTCCCAACAGGGTTACGTTTGAGTCTTCAGTGATGCCACCTTTGGATGGAGAGAACTTTGATCCCACTTTATGGGCTTGTAAATGTGATTAAATCTCTACTTCCTCATTCCAATTCGCCCATTTCAACTTCTGTTTGAGCAATAGCTCCTGGTCCAGGCAACTTAGGAGACCATTGGAATGCTCTGTGTGGATAATCTGGTCTGAGCATGGGCAGTGAAACTTTTTTATACCAGTCCCCAGTGAGATGTTGCTTTATAGTGGGCTGCTTGCTCTCCGGGTTTGGAATTCTACCACAACCTTCGGTAACCTTCTTAGAACTTTTGTCTTGTCTTTACTTGGAGGAAGACAGACCTTATCCTGGTTTTTAACTTAGAAATTTTACTTCCCAGAAGCATTAATAATAGATCTTTAGTGAGGATACTAAGCATTGTGCAGCAAAACCTGTAGAATTGCAATGCATTTCTCTATCTCCCCTTACCCAAGGGTGAGAGTGGAGATTTCCGTGTGTGCATTGTTAATATGAAAGCCGCAGGCTGTTCTTACTGTCTGCTCAGCTACCTGGCATAGCCCTAGGAAAGACAGCTTATAATTTCTTCTCCCTGGCTTGTTCTGAAGCTGACACAATGGTATCTTTTTCTGGCCAGTGGTCTGAGAACCACTTTCTAAGCACAATGAACAATCTGCTTAAACAGAGCTCCCCACCCCTGTGAGTGCTGGAGTTGGAGAGAGAAATTCATTAGAGCCCGAGGTAGCTCTGGATCTTAAAAAGAAAAGAGATAAGGAGTGCAGGGCCAGGGAAAAGAAGAAGTTTGCTTTCTAGCTCCTGAAATGTTGCTGATATCTCTCATTATATTTTTTTTTCTTACTTACTGTCTTCTTTACTTTGTGGCTTTCTTATCTAATTTCTTATTCTTTTTACCGTTATTTATACAGTTCTAGGAGGAAACAAATAGAAACTCATTTGTAAAATACACTTCCTCACCTTCAGATCTACGAATTAATTTTTTCCTATGGTGTATAAGCAAAAAAATGACATTTCTTTGGCCTTTTAGTATAGACACTTGTGACAACATCATTTTTTGTAGTATATATTTTCCTAAATTTATTTGAAATTATGAATATATGATATATTAGATTCCCACATGTGAAAGTTTCTTTTTGGACTGCATCTTGATTCACTAATGCATTTGTCTTTCTCTACACCAATACCATAGTTTTAATTGTAGTTACTTCATGATATGCTTTGATAGGGTGTAAGACAGGTACTTTCTCACTTTATTTCACTTCTTTCTCAAAAATCTTTTAATTACTCTTGCTTGATGGCTTTTCTTTCATGTGAGGTTTTAAATCAATCTGTCAAGTACCATTTTTAACAGTGTCTTCTAGATTTGGATTGCTATTTCCTTGAATTCACATACTCTGAGAAAATTTGACTTTTGTGATATTAATTGCTTTTTTGCCAGAAGTAGCTGTCACTTCATTTATTTTAGGACTTTTAAAAATATCTTTTAAAAAATCATTAGAGCTTTCTCACTAAATGTCCTACATGTGTATCATTAGATTTATTTCATATTTATTCTTTCATGGTTTATGTTGTTATTGTACACAGGAGAGTTTCTATTATTTTTATAGTTGTGGCTTGAGTATAGAAATGCTAACCTCCTTGCTGAGCTCTCATGATTTCTATTAATCTGGTAATTGAATATCTTGGATCTTTTAAAGATATACAAATCATATCAACTGTCTTCTGTCCATCAATATCCAATTTCCACTTTTTTCTTCCAAGTTTTAATGCAATACATGGCATTTCACAACCTTCTTTATAGCCTAGGTGAGACTACTTGACTGTTTGGACAGCTAACATGCAGAAGATCCTTGAGAAGGAAAATAAATATTTATTGTTGTAAGTTCTGTGCTTTACAGGTTGGTCTTTACTTGGGATTATCTCTGCCCTATCTGATTCATATGTCTGCTAATCTCGTTCTATGAGCATGTATAGTATTTATTCTATAAAGCAATAAGAATGTGGCTAGGCAAGGGGATTATAAGCCCACTAGGGCTTATACACAATATAAATATAATAAATATCATATAATATAAATATAATAAATATTATATAATGATATAATATAATATTATAAAATATTAGCTAGAGCAATCTAATAATTTTTAAACAATAATGTATCATAATAAAATATGGGTTTTCCCAAGGGATGCAGGGATAGCTCACCATAAAATAATTGACTAATATGATGAACTACTTAATAGACTGAAACTGGAAAATGTATATGATTATTTCAATAAATGGATTAAAAACCATTTGATGAAGTATTTATCCATCGATTTAAAAAATCATTTAAAAATAGAACTAGAAGGGAACTTCCTTAACTTGGTAAAGGTTAAATATTCCAAATCCACAGCAGTGTACTGGATGGAGACTCTCTGGATGCATTTCTTTAAATCAGAAATAAGAAAAGATACCTATTCTCACAGCTTACAATTAGACAGGATACTAGAGGTCCTGGCCTATGCTATAGGAAAAGAAAATAATTAAGATTTACAAAGACTATAAGCAAAACCATCATTATTTACAGATGATAAGATTATATATCTAGGAAAATTTTTGTAACAATCTATTAGCCTTAATAAGAGAACTAGACACAGGACCACCTCAGAGATATCAATGACTACAACTGTAATTTCAGCACTTTGGGCGGCCAAGGCAGGAGGATTGCTTGAGACTAAGAGTTCAAGACCAACCTGGACAACCTAGAAAGACCCTATTTCTACAAAAAATAAAAAATTTAGCAATGATTGGTGATGCACACGTGTAGTCCCAGCTACTTGGAAGGCTGAGCAAGGAGTATGGTTTGAGCCCAGGAGTTTGAGGCTATAGTGAGCTATGATTTCACCACTGCACTCTAGCCTGGGGGAGAAGGTCAGATTTTGTCTCTTTAAAAAAAGAAAGAAAGAAATCAATGGAATTTCTGTACACCAGCAATAACCAACTAGAAAAATAAAATAAAATGTCACTTATAACAGCAACACAAATTATAAAGTTGGAATTGTATAAAGTAGGAATTTTTTAACAGAGAATATACATGATTTCTATGGCACTCTTTGCCAGAACTTTCAGTCCTCCCAAT
This sequence comes from Homo sapiens, assembly GCF_000001405.40. Classification (NCBI taxonomy): domain Eukaryota; kingdom Metazoa; phylum Chordata; class Mammalia; order Primates; family Hominidae; genus Homo; species Homo sapiens. Next base: position 515,875 of record NW_018654714.1, on the reverse strand, counting down.
ATTCATTCATTTATTTATTTATTTATTTCCTTCTTTCTCTCTCTCTTTCTCTCTCCCTCCCTCCTTCCCTCCCTCTCTCTTTCTCTCTCTCTTTCTCTTTCTTTCTTTCTTTCTCTTTCTCTTTCTTTCTTTCTTTCTTTCTTTCTTTCTTTCTTTCTTTCTTTCTTTCTTTCTTTCTTTCTTTCTTTCTCTTTCCTTCTTTTTCTTTCTTTCTTTCGGAATCTCACTCCAGTTGTGCAGGCTGGAGTGCAGTGGCATGATCTTGGCTCACTGCAACCTCCACCTCCCAGGTTCAAGCTATTCTCCTCCCTGAGCCTCCTGAGTAGCTGGGATTACAGGAGTGCACCACCACGCCTGCCTAATTTTTGTAGTTTTATTGGAGATGGGGTTTCATCATGTTGGTCAGGCTGGTCTTGAACCCCTGACCTCAGGGGATCCACCCGCCTCGGCCTCCCAAAGTGCTGGGATTACAGGCGTGAGCCACCACTCCCGGCCAGTATTTTTAATCTACCTTCCTTATTATTTTTCTTCCTAGCAATTAACACCATCCAACATAACATGTATCTTATTTCTTATTTTTATTGTCTGTTTCCCTTAAGTTGAAAGTAAACTCCATGAGGACAGATATTTTCATTTGCCTAGAAAGGTGTCCAGCATGTAAAATATATTTAACAAATATTTGTTGAACAAATATGGAGAAAGTATTAAAACTATAAATAGGACATTAAAGAGTTTCTGAATAACTGTAATGACATTTCATGCTTTGTCTTGGACAATTTAATATTAAAAGATCAGTTCTCCAAAAGTAATCTATAAACAATTAAAATTTCAGGTGAAATTTTTGGGAAACTTCAGACTAAAATTAGTCAAAATTTTATAAGAAATAAATCTCTCTATAAATAGCAGAATTAACTTTGAAAAAAGACCAAATAAAATGGATATGCTCATGTTATTTGATATCTTACATACCCTGTAGGAAGACTTATTAAATTTAAAAAATAGAATGCTAGAATTGCATGGTGTAAGAACAGATGAAATAACAAACAGGAATGAATAGAGAGTTCAAAGACAGACCCAGACATAGGTAAACTTAATACACACTAAAATTACTACAAATGAATGAGTAAAGAATTGATTGTCTAATAAATGGAACACTGGAAAACATAACACTGGATCTATATTTAACAAATATTTAAAAGTGAATGTCAGATATACTAAAGAAATATTATAGTAGGTAAAACTAAAAACCTAATTAAATAAAAAATATAGTATTTTGTGACCTACATGCAGGATTTTATTTTTTTAGAAAAACAAACTTCCAAAGCACAAATCACAGAATAAAAAAGTGATGCATTTGATTGCCTCAAAATGAAGACCTTCTGTTCAACAAAGGACTCTATGGATAAAGTGAACAGAGGGATTGCAGATTAGAAGTATGTATTTGCAGTAGGTATGACACAACAGGGCTAACACCTATAATATATCCATCAGTAAAGAAATGGCAAAAAACCCAAAGGAAAAATGGGCAAAGAAAATGAACATGCAGTGTACAACAATAAAAACCCAAATAGCTAACAGTTTGCTTCACTCGCTCAGAAAATATTTACTTTGTGCCTTCTATAAGACAGGCACTATTTTAGATATTTGGCATATACTAGTTTAAAAAACAAAGAGCCCTGCCTTCAAGGGGCTTATATATGGGGCAGTGAAGGGAAACCTATATTTAAAAATGCATACATTGCAAAGAATGCTAGAAAAGATAAGTTCTTTGGAAAATAAATCAAGGGGAGAAGGAGTGGGAGTATGGGTCAGGAAGGAAGTTTGTTGTAACAAATAGGTCAGTCATGTAAATCTCCTTGAAGAGATGATGGTTGAATGAAAAATTGACAGAGGTGAGGAAGTGGCTATCTAAGGAAAGAGCATCCCAGGAAAAGAGTCTAGATAGAAAACAGGCCCATCTCCACAGAAAGACTTTGGATTTTATTTTTAGTAAATGCAGGGTGTGAGCAGGGTAATGACATGGCCTGAGTTATATATATATATATATATATATATATATATATATATATATATATATATATATATACATACACACACACACACACACACACACACACACACATATACATACTCATATACATATATACATATATATACGTATATATATATACGTGTATATATATACGTATATATATATACGTGTATATATATACGTATATATATATACGTGTATATATACACGTATATATGTACACACACACACACACACACACACACACATATATATATATATATATATTTTTTTTTTTTTTGAGACGGAGCATCACTCTGTCGCCCAGGCTGGAGTGCAGTGCCGGGATCTTGGCTCACTGCAAGCTCCGCCTCCTAGGTTCACGCCATTTTCCTGCCTTAGCCTCCCAAGTAGCTGGGACTACAGGCACCGCCACCACGCCCGGCTAATTTTTTGTATTTTTTAGTAGAGACGGGGTTTCACCATGTTAGCCAGAATGGTCTCGATCTCCTGACCTCGTGATCCACCCGCCTCGGCCTCCCAAAGCTGAGTTATATTTTAAAGGGTTCCCTCTGACTGCTGGGACACAAGAGTGAAGCAGAGAAGTTTGTTCTACTGAAGTAACCCAAGTGGGAGATGGTGGTGTTTCACACCAGGGAGTGACTGCAGAGGTGAGAAGTGATCATATTCCGCACATATTTTGAAGGTAGGGGCAACAGGATATTTTTGCAGATTTGAGTCCCGTATGAGAAAAAGGAGTGGTGAATGGACTCATCACTGCAATGACGAAGTTACCATGAACTGAGACAAGGAAGGCATGAACAGAATGATACAGAGTGAGAATGGGTGCGAATCAGGAACTCAGCATGAGAAAAACATGAGAAAAAAACTCCGTGTCTGATTACTTTTCAGAGTAATGGAACATAAAACAATTTTATCTTTTAGCTAAAAAAAAAATCAAAACATGCCAAGTGTTGTTGAAGTTGTACATAAGGAAAGATTGTGCACTGAAGTAGGAGTATAGAGTTATAAAGCCATTCTGGGGATCACTATGACCTAGCAACTCGGTTCCTCTGTAAATACACCAAAGAAATTTTCACACAGGTCTTTAAGTGAGCCTGTGTCATGATATGAATCCCAAGGTGCTGGGGAATTGGATATTTAGCTACCGGGAATGAAAGCTAGAATATTGTGAACACCATGGATTCATAATTGCTCATTGTGAACAATTAGAAATTGTAGACTAGCAATATGTATGAATCTTTATAGTGTTGAGGCTGGGCGCAGTGGCTCACACCTGTAATCCCAGCACTTTGGGAGGCTGAGGCGGGAGGATTGTCTGAGCTCAGGAGTTCACAACCAGCCTGGGCAACACGGTGAAACCCCGTCTCTAGTAAAATACAAAAAATTAGCCGGGCAAGGCAGCATGCGCCTGTAGTCCCAGCTACTCAGGAGGTTGAGGGGGAGAATTGCTTGAACCCGGGAGGCAGAGGTTGCAGTGAGCTGAGATCACGCCACTGCACTCCAGCCTGGGCAATAGAGTGAGACTCCATCTCAAACAAACAAACAACAACAACAACAACAAAAAAAAAAAACCCAAAAAATATAGTGTTGAATGGAGAAAATGAATACATAGAATCAAACAGATAACAACATAATGCATTTTTTTAAAAATGCATAAATGCACTCTCAAACATATTTTATTGCATTAAACAAATTAGAATAGTTGGCCAAAAGACCAGGAAGAAATGGACATTACGAATAAGATAAAAGAGAATTAATGCAATATGCAGCATAACAATGTTTTGCTCAATGACTGACCTCATATACTATGGTGGTCCCATAAAATTATAATGGAGCTGAAAAGTTCTTATTGCCTAGTGACTTCACAGCTATTGGAACGTCATAGCAACACATTATCTTTTCTATGTTTAGATATATTTGGAAACACAAATATTTACCACTGTGTTAAAATTGCCTACGGTATTCAGTACACTATCATGCTGTACAGGTTTGTAAACTAGGAGAACAGGCTATACCATCTAGCCTAGGTGTGTAGTAGACTACACCATCTAGGTTTGTGTACCTACACTCTATGGTGTTTGCCTAATGACAAAATCGCCTAATGACACATTTCTCCTAGCATGTCTCTGTTGTTAAGCAATATATGACTGTAATAAATTTTCAAAAATTAGTAAGAGGGCCCTCGTGTTATTCCATATACTGAGGAGTATTATTAACCAATTATCTCTGCACTGGAGATTTTAAAAAGCCTTATTTTCTAATATCCTAAATTCTAACATGTATGATCTTTACATACTTCATAAAAGGCAACTCTTAAAATAGCAAAGAACATGTCCATCAATAAATTATACAATGAGCATGAATTTAACAGCATTGTTAGGCACTGTGACGACAAGGAGCATCCTCCTTGCTCTCAAGAAGCTTACAGTCTAACTTCCCAAGACAGCACTGCCCTTTTTGCCCACTGCGAAAGCAGGTTTTCTTCTTTTGAAAAGTAGGGGATCAAAACAGCTTTATTTTTGAAAATTTACACAATTTTTAGCCGAGTCATTGATGACAGTAATCTATAGAATTCAAAATTTCCATTGAAAAGCAATATGTATAAATAAATTAGATTAAGTCCAAGATTTCACACACACAAATATCTTGTAGGTCTAGAATCATTTTCTCCATCAATACATATGACTTGTAGAAAAATACATTCTCTTTTTATAGAGATTTATCTGTTTTCTCCCAACCCTTGATGGATGAACACATGCAGTGAAAGAAGGGAGACAGGATGCAGGTGCAAATGGGGAGGGAAGAGCAGCTGGACCATAACAGGCTCCGCACAGGAAGAGTTTGGATTTTGTTCTAAGAAGGAGATGTAGCCTAATTTATTTTCTAAGATAAAGGTGTCAGCAACAGGTACTGGAGAGGATATGGAGAAATAGGAACACTTTTACACTGTTGGTGGGACTGTAAACTAGTTCAACCATTGTGGAAGTCAGTGTGGCAATTCCTCAGGGATCTAGAACTGAAATACCATTTGACCCAGCCATCCCATTACTGGGTATATATCCAAAGGACTATAAATCATGCTGCTATAAAGACACATGCACACGTATGTTTATTGAGGCACTATTCACAATAGCAAAGACTTAGAACCAACCCAAATGTCCAACAATGATAGACTGGATTAAGGAAATGTGGCACATATACACCATGGAATACTATGCAGCCATAAAAAATGATGAGTTCATGTCCTTTGTAGAGACATGGATGAAATCGGAAATCATCATTCTCCGTAAACTATCGCAAGGACAAAAAACCAAACACCGCATGTTCTCACTCATAGGTGGGAATTGAACAATGAGAACACATGGACACAGGAAGGGGAACATCACACTCTGGGGACTGTTGTGGGGTGGGAGGAGGGGGGAGGGATAGCATTAGGGGATATACCTAATGCTAAATGATGAGTTAATGGGTGCAGCACACCAGCATGGCACATGTATACATATGTAACTAACCTGCACATTGTGCACATGTACCCTAAAACTTAAAGTATAATAAAAAAAAAGAATAACAAAGTAAAAAAAAAATTCACTTTTAAATATTTAACAGACTACAGGATAATTGACCTAATTAAACTAAAGAGCTTCTGCACAGCAAAAGCTGAAAGAGCATAGCAATTATTTGTATTCATAGCTTATGTTAATGTAAAATCTTTGAAAATAAAAGTACAAAAATGAGGGGTAGCAAATAGTAGCACACTAAGGTTCCTGTGTGAATATGGAATATCCTGTGAATATGGAATATCCTGTGAATATGCTATTGTACATGACAAAAGGGCCTTGCAGATGCATTTAAATGAAGGATTTTTAAATGGGGGTATTGTCCTGGACCATCTGGGTGGCCCTAATGTAATCACAAGTTTCTTGTAAAGAACAAGGCAAGAGGATCAGGGTCAGAAGAAAGATATGTGATGACAGAGGATCATTTCTCTGTCATCATATGGAGGACAGAATGGAGTGGAGGATCAGAGTCACAGAAAGGTTTGCTGTGCTGTTGGCCTTGTGGAAGGAGGAGCCAGGAACCAAGGAGTGGAAGTCACCTCAGAAAGCAGAAAGCAAGAAATGGAATGTTCCCCAGAGTCTCCAGGGAGAAACGCAGCTCTGTCAACAGCTTGATTTTGCCCTAGTAGAACCCGTATCAGACTCTGACCTTTGTAATGTTAAGATAATAATTTTGTAATGTTTTGAGTCACAAAGTTTGTGGGACTTTGTAAGATAAGGTGGAACTTGTGGAATTCCTACTTTTACAACAGGAAGAAGAAACTAAAATAGGCTCACGTTCACCAAATATGGGACAGTTTGAACATCAATAAAGACAATAACTGCTGTGGATTAAGACACATCAAATAAATGCACATCAGTGAGTTCATAACTATAATGAAAAAAACCTCACCTCATTTGTTGTATTAAAAAGTGGCAACGAAAGGGGAAAAATTAAAAAATTTATTCTGCCTTTCTCATACCAACTATACCTCAGGAGGATGAAAGAGTGATGAGGTGGAAGTTTCTCTCTATAAATGTATTTTAGATAATAAAGAGAAAAGGATGATAGACTCTCACCACCTTGAAACCCCTAAAAAATTAATAGAGCTAGGTCAGTACTTCTCTATCAGGGGCAATATTGGCATTGCCTAGTTGGGAGGGAGTACTAGGGCCATCTAGTAGGTAGATGTTAGGAATGTTGACCATGCACAAAATAGCCCCCATAACAAATAATTATTCAGCCCAAAATGTCAATAGATATTTGGCACTTTTGAAAACTCCTGACCTATGCAATATAATAGTTGTAATAATCCCCAGAAAAAAAGGAACATTGTGTTTCTTGCTACAAACATTGTGTGCTTCTTGCTAGAAGTACATGTGACCATCTATGAAATACCATTGTCATAAAAAAAAATAAACCTGATGAAACCTCTGGATTAAACAGGAGATACAGAAATAAAATAACATGTAAAATTACACTATAGGGATGTCATCAAAAAATCTAGACTGTATGAGAAATCCAACAGGAACAAATGATACAGTTTTATTTAAAAAATAATTCCAACAGTAAAAAAGTAGAATTTATAGGTTACTAATTTACTATAAATTTATTAATTGATAGAGTAAAAGAATTCTCAGAGGCATAGTAGACAATTGGAATATATGGGTCTTATTTAGATTCTTATTTGAACAAACTGTAATTTTTATATGTATTAGATTTTTAAGGAAAACCTTCAGTGGTGTTTTTATGGTTATTAACTAATGAAAAATATTTTATTTTCAAATACTTTTCAGTGTCTTTTTAAATTTTTTCTATTTAATGGCTAAATAAACAATAAAGTTTAGAATAGCATCTTATTTTGTATTCCTGTATCAAGACAATGTTCATGCCTTCTATTGGGAATGTCCTTCACAAGCAGCTATGAATTAGAAGTGTGTGTAGTCTTAAGGTGATCCAACTAATTTAATTTATGAAGATTAAAGTTACCGAGAAAGTGCAGCCTTGAAATTAAAAACTCTATCAAATAAAAAAGATAAAAATTGAAATTTAATAGATGGAATATATGATGGTTAATATTGACCATCAACTTGATTGGATTGAAGGTTACAAAGTATTGTTCCTGGGTGTGTCTATGGAGGTGATGCCAAAGGAGATTAACATCTGAGTCAGTGGACTAGGAGAGGCAGGCCCATCCTCAATCTGGGTAGGCACCATCTAATCAGCTGCCAGCATGGCTAGGATAAAAGCAGGCAGAGGAACATGGAAGGACTAGATTGCCTGAGTCTTCTGGCCTCTATCTTTCTCCTGTGCTGGATGCTTCCTGACCTTAAACATCAGACTCCACTCCAATTTCTTCAGCTTTCGGACTCTTGGACCTACACCAGTGGTTGACCAGGGGCTCTCGGGCCTTTGGCCACAGACTGAGGGCTGCACTGTTGGCTTCCCTACTTTTGAGGTTTTGGAACTCCAACTGGCTTCTGTGCTCCTCAGCTTACAGAAGGCCTATTGTGGTACTTTACCTTTTGATCGTGTGAGTCAATACTCCTTAATAAACTCCTTTTCATATATTCATCTATCCTATTAGTCTTGTCTCTCTAAAGAAACCTGACTAATACAGAATATGAGACTATAGTAGTCTATTTCTACATACCTAATGCCCACTCTCAGCATTTCTGCTTCCTGAGATATCAAGACTTGGATAACCCTTCCAGGAAGAACCCCAACATGCTTAGGAGTTGTTTGAAGGCAAAGGATTGTGTGATGGTTGATGGAGAAATGTCACGAACACCGTGACCACACGACCGCTGGCAGAAATGAAGATATAGCATCTTCACGTATTTTCCTCCTTGATGTATTATGTGTATGTTTGTATTTTTGATTACTTTCTTCTTATCTCTTTCCCATACCATTTCATATAGAGCATGTTCACGATGGTGAATTTTCCAGTTTACTACACAATTTACAGAATGTTCAGACAGCATCCTCACATTTTAGAAGAGGAATGATATTCAGATGGCATTTCCAATCTGGGAGATGAAGTGTTTTAGCTGACATCACTTTTAAATGACACCACTTTACTTGTCTCCTTCCAATTGCATCTAACTTAATTCAGATGTCTCGAATGTCTCAAGAGTATTACTGAAGCAGACCCAGCAGACAGGCTGGTCATCTTGCCTCTAATCTTTTCTTCCACTATCTCATTTGCCAGAGTGATACTTTTAAAATGTAATTGTTTTCAATCTATACTCCTTCTAAAAATTTTTGACGGACTATTGTTTTCTATTAGAATAAAGTTAAAAGATACTTAGACATTCGACGCCTTCCAGGATCTGACCGTGTCTAACCCGTCTGCTTCGTCCTCACTACTCTCTCACTCTTCTCTGCCCTGAAATTGAACTTCCAACATTTTTTGGACTTTCATGCTTGCTCACATCTCTACAACTTTGTACAGGTTGTTTCTTTTTTGGGTTTCTTGTCTTCTGGATAACTTGTTCTTACATTTCTGGTCTCAATCCAAGGGTCCTTTTATAGGAAGCCTTCTGCAATCATTTCCAGTGGGCTCCCCTTCACTGTAACACTTACCACAATGCATTATCATTGTTTCATCATCTGTCCTCCCTACTATGTGAGATTATCCTTGTTATGATGGTATCATATTGACTATTGTGTGCAACAACCATTTATTGACACTGACACAGAATAGATACTCCACTGATAATACTTAAAATAAAAATTTAATTTGCCAGCATTGTCATCTTTTAGGATGCCTGCCTATCTTGCAAAATTTAAGATTGCATTACTATTAATATAAAATTCAGATGTCAAATGGGCTTTGAGTTATATGCCTTCAACACTGTAAAAACTCTTAGATTCTATGATGATGTGTTGACAAATGTAAGAACTGCAAATCAACTGACTTAAAGAAGACACAAAAGGAAGAAAAGACTGACTCCTTCAAGGGAGTAGGAAGAGCAGCTATGATCATATTCTTTCTTTTCTTTCCACTTTTTCAATTATGTCTTCTCCTTTTACATCAGTTATGCTCCTTTTCAAAGGGAAGTCCATTCTCAGACAAGCCCAGGTTACAAGATTTACAAAAATTCACCTATGGCTCTGTTGTGTGTGTGAAGGTGACGAAGACGGAGGTGGCAAGAGAAGTTCTCAATGTGAAGACTTGAGGGTAACATTTGCATAGTTGACTGACCTTCCTTGACGTTCCAAACTTCATATTAAATTATCTTACCCTTCATTGACTTTGGCTGAAGAGTTTTTCCTTAAATTAACTATGTCTTTGACATTTTTCACAGTATCTCATAATTTGTGTGCTTTTTTGTGTGTTTCTGAAGATTCTGAGAAAGAGCTTACAGATTTTTCAGAGATTGATCATTTTTAATATTTTCAACGATATACCTATATATGCAGTAAAATCCTTCTCAAACTGTTTGAATACTGTCAAGAAGCACCTGAAGCTTAACTTTTCTTGGTCAATAATTGTCTTCAGTACAAACAACCATTGACTGTCACCCTATCGAGGTGAAACAAGACCTTGAGTTGATATTTTTTCACTGAATTAGCTCCAGCACTCAGGAGAAGACATTATGTTCACCTTTTGTAGGTCCTGCACAAAAACATTTTAGTCAGCCTTGACAATAACACTTTTCTCAGAATGTTGACTCACACAATTACTGCATGTGATGACATACACTACAAATTATTTAAAGTGAGTCTTCAAATGTAAAAATGCATTTTGTTTTCAATGGAAGCCCCATAACCTTTTATAAAATGTGGATGTGTAAGTACCAGTGGTCCAAGGTAAGATCCATGAGTAGGTCTATCATTACAAACGATATGACAAATCAAAACAGTAAGTAGTAATTTTTTTTCAACGATTGTCAGGCTGTAAGAGTGGAGGTGGAAGAAGTGTGGGAGGTTTTATAACAGCAGTATCTAACTCCACTGTTCATAAATATAACCCCACGTCCCACACCCCATCCAATTGAACCACTCCCCCTCCTCCATAACATCCACAGTACATGCTACGTCATCTCCTTCCTGGTTGCCAGGGCAATGTAGTTTACACCTGTCAGATCTCAGCTGGGTGGAGAACACTGAGGCAAAGCTGTTTTCTCTAAGTCATACTCATGAGTCAAGTTGCCAGCTTTGATGTTAACCCAGAGAATTTCCATAATAGTTTCTGCCAGGCCCCCTTCACCTCTTTATTCCTTAGGCTGTAAATCATGGGGTTCAGCATTGGTGTTAAAATGGCATAAAAGACAGAGAACAACTTCTCCTGAAGGACAGAGGGACTGGAGTGGGGCTGGATGTAAGTGAAAATGGCCACACCATAGCACAGGGCAACCACTGTGAGGTGAGAGGCACACGTGTGGAAAGCTTTCTTTCTTCCTTCTCTGGACTGGATCTTTAGGATGGTGGAGATGATCTGGATGTAGGACAAAAGAACCAGGCAGAAGGGTGTCATCAGAAGAACAATGCTAGACACCATGATGGTGACCTCATTGGAGGAGGTGTCCACACAAGCCAGCCTGACCACAGCTAGGAGTTCACAGGATATGTGATCAATAAACTTGTTTCTGCACATGGGCAGCTGAAAGGTGATAGCAGTCTGCACAGGAGAGCTGATGAAGCCACTGACCCAGGATGTGATGGCCAACCTAGCACACAGCCCTCCATGCATGATGGCCGAGTATCGCAGGGCATCACACACAGCCACATAGCGGTCATAGGCCATCACCGCCAGGAGAACAAACTCAATCCCACCCAAGGCCAGGGAGAAAAATAACTGGGCTGCACAGCTCTGGAATGGGATGGCTTTATGTTCTGCAAGAAAATGTGCCAGCAGCTGAGGGACTACACTTGTGGCATAGGAGACATCGACAAGGGAGAGGTTGGTGAGAAAGAAATACATGGGAGTGTGGAGTCGGCTGTCCAGTCTGATCAGAAGGACAATGAGACAGTTCCCCAGCACGGTCACCACATACATGACCAAGAACAGGACAAACAGGGAGACCCGAGTGTCCCAGTCACTGGACAGGCCGAGGAGAATAAATTCACTCACCCAAGTCTGGTTATCTGTTCCCATTAAAATATTCAAGGATTATTAATCTGTGAAGGGAGTCAGAAAAAAACAGAAGCTGTTGAATAACTATAAGAATTACTTGTTTGAATGCATTCTGTACATGCCAGCCAGCCCTAGGCAGGTATTTTAGATCATTTATTGGCCAAAATGAGAGTCTTGACCCAACATGCATTATATTTACTTTGCATCAGAGAGACAAACTATGGCCTTTACAAGACACAATTTGATATCAGGGAAGCCAGTTAAATCCTGGAAATAATGCATTGCAACATTAGGAATTCTACATCTTCACCAACTTACTTCAGATTCCAGGGCAAGGAGAAAATTGCAAATGACAACCAGCGGTAAAATGATAAGCAGTGAAGAAGAATATGGTTGGAAAGTTAACAAATTACCTTAAACATGTCAACTAGACTCATCTTGATGAAATGTGTAAATCTACTACAAAAGGAAAGATTTGGAAGAAGCAAGGCCTGGAGGAAAAATCTGGAACTGGAAACCTACGTTTAAACCTTATTTTATTAGGCAGATTCATGATGTTGGTTTATTGATAAACATTATATATACAAGAGGACATTATTACATAACTCACGAGTATATTTAACATCAAAGTTTCTTTGAACTGATGTTCATTTAACATCAGTTTTTCTTGGAAGTCTTTTTATTTCTAGCTATAATAATTACTATCAATAACATATGGGGAAAGTACTTTTTGAACTGTTACTGGTAATACAACTCTAGAATCATGGATTTTAGTAGTAACATGATCTCTGTGTTGGGACAGGTAAGCCAACAAACACGATTTTCCCTGCATCCTCTCCACAAATTCAGATACAAATAAAATTGGAGACAATCTGTAACATACCTGAGAGTATAGGGATGGTTTGGATGCTTTGAGGATCCTGGGGCCACCGGTCTTTCAGGTAGCCCTTGACCTTTTTGTGGGATGGGATTGTAATTGTACTTCGGTCTCTCTCTTTTTTTTTTTTTTGCTCTTTTCAACTTGCTGCTGTTGCTATGGCTGCCAAAGAAAATAAACATGCATATGAATGCTTAGGCTTTTTAGATACAAGGGAGGAAGAGAAAGCAGATGTCTAAGTACCCTTCTTCATTGTCCAAGACAGAGAAGGAGATATGAATTCACTTGAATGTACATTGGAATGGAGATTCCCTTCTTACTTTTGCTCAGCAAGTGCTTTGTCAGTAAAACTAATGTTATAGCATCAATTTTGAACATAAATAAAAACAAATTACATTGTAAAAAAAAAATAGAACCAATTCCTTCTTATTCCATGTCTGCCTCTTCATAAGCGTTCTTTTTATTGCAGTGTTCACAATAAGGGAAAGTAGGAAACAAATGAGGCAGGAGGCATTAAGGACAGAAACAGGTCCAGACAGACTAGGGTCTCTTACTCGCAAGGGAAAGACTGTCAATACTTCAACTCTCTTATGTGATAAAGGATTAAGCAAAACATGTAGTTCCAGAAATACTCATCCCTTTCATAGTTCACAACCATTTTTTCTAAACTCTCCCTAATGTCCTCCTCAAGACCTTCCTTCTCCAACATTTCCTCCTTTACTGCTCTGTCCTGATGCTCCCACCAGCACCCCTCAGGGTGCTTTTCTAAAATCATAATGAGGCTGAGAATACGTTTGATTTCCTCAAAGAGACATTCAAATTCAAATTCTAAAACCTCAAAAACATTTCACTAAAAGAAAACCTGTCAACTATTGTTGACTAGATTCCAGATTTGCATCTGAATTAGACATTTTTCCATTAACTTGGCAAACACCTATAAAGTGTCATCGTTGTTAGATGATGGATTTTTAGGGTGAATATTACCCTTAATTTTCACGGAGAGCTGACCTATCATGAGGGAAAAGACACAGTGATCTTCACCGTATCATTTGCTCCTCTGCCGCACTGGAGACCCTGCAAGCCCATGACTCACTGTGCTCCTCTCAGCCACCCAACATGTCTCTCCACTAAGTCCTTGTCACATTACAAATGAGTGACAGTGTCTCATCTCAGAGAAAGTGTGAACTTCAGAGTCTAACAGCTCCTGTTTTAGATACACATGTGTTTGTTCTGCTTCCTGAGACTTGGAGCAAGATACTTAGCTTCTCTAAGCCTCATTTTCTTCATGTGTGAAATGTGCCTGATATTGGCCAGCTGAAGGGTCCTTGATGAAATTAAAGGAATTGAAGGACTAAAGCTACAGAAGTGCCGAAACAGGCAGGTGTCCATTGTTTACTGATGATCCTTAGTCTTGACTTCATGCTCTCTTTCAGAATATTCTTTCTTCATTTACTCTCCCTCTCTACTATCCTCAGGTTCCTCTTGTTCCTGAGTAACTCCTTCTCCCTCATTATAAAAGAAAATATACAGGCATCTCAATTTAGGAAGCTTTACTGTGTATATAGCATTCTAAATACCCCTTCATTTCACATCTCTAATGATTGGAATCCATTGTCTGGATTTATTTCCTAATATTTATTCCTGAGACTGTAAACATTTCTACCCTCACTAATCTTTAGAATTTGAAAACTTAAAGGTTACTGATAACCTGCCATCATCAGTTCCAGAGATATTTTTATTCTATTTGCATTCTTTACTTAGCTTTTAACAATGTTACCTATTTGTTCCTTCAAACTCTCAACTCTGTCATGGACTTCTGTCCTGATTTTCCTCCAATCGAATTTGCCTTGTCACCATTCTTAACCTTCCTCCTTCTCCTGCTCTGCTGTATGAGCATTTGCTAAAGTTCTGTGCTCAGAACTTGTACTCAACTTCTACAGTTTTTCTTGGAAGTCTTTTTATTTCTAGCTATAATAATTACTATCAACTCTATATGGCTCACTCTCAATTTTACATTTACCTTCTAGATTTCTCTTCAAAGCTCCAAGTGTATTCCAGAAAAGCTGAATGAATGTTTCCTAAATATCTCACCAATGCCTGTACTCCTCTATCCACGAATGAAATTCCCTCCTGAGTTCTTTTTTACTATCGGCAGAATTAGATTTCTCCTACTCTCTCAATGAATCATCTTTTATTTTTCCCTCTTCTTCTGTATGCCACAGAATACATTCTCTTCCTTTATTATATATCTCCCCCATCTCCTCCTTACTCTCAGCCACACTTACCTTTTCCCTCTTTATTCCCATCTGCTAGAGTTGCCAGACCTTACTTGTAAATTTCCCTAATGTAACTTCCATTCACTCCCAAAATCCTACACTCTAACCTCCAAGTTAATTATATAAAATACAAATTTTTATGTCCTTTTTAAGCACAAAAAGATCTATAATGTCTAAGTGTGTAAAGATTTAAGTTTATCCTGGGCAGAATACTTTTCATCCAATCCATAATCTGCTCTTCTTCTATGACTAACTTTATTTTATTAACTATAGCATTTATTATCATGCCTTGTGTTTTCCAGCAGTCTTTTATTAAAATAGGCTGCTAATACTTAAATATCTTTCACTGATATGTTAACCCATCAAGTATGCTGTGTTTTTCCATGGCTATTGTGGGTTTCAAAATAATTAATATTCAAAAAATATATCTTGTTTCGAATGTTTATGGACTGATGTTAGACAAAGAAAATGTAAATATCATCTGCATTTGGAAAGCCAGTTGAAGGAGGAAATATGTATGAGCCAGATGATTTTAATGCACCTTCAGTTAAAACCATCTCCATATTATTCTGGGCTCACCTTCCAGCTAAATATAACTGGCTTTCTATTCTTATATCAAGGTGAATGGACTAGGTGTCAGGTAACATGCTTCATATCCAACCACTTCTATAGGAAGCCAGAGCTTGATCTTTACTGCTCTAATCTGTGGAATCTATACTTTCCCTACACCGGTGACATTCATTGAGGTCAACTAACTAAGGAAAAAATGTGAGAATATTTCTTCAATTTGTCTGTACAAACACAACTACCAAAACCTCTTAATACAAGCATGCAGCCAAGTTACAAAACCAGTATTGGACAATGAACACAGCTAATAGTCCTATTTAGCTCTTTGTGGTGTACAAGTGTGACTTTTGTGCTCTTCACAGTACTTGTCCAACACCAACAACATTACCTTTTTGCCAGGCATCTAATGTTGCTTTAGTAAGCAATAAAATTCTATTTTACATTCTTAGAGTTATATCATCTTCATACTCAACAAACATCAAATCAATTTTTTCTATATGTGTTCTGAGCTTTCTTTTGACCATTGAAAATAACCAATTCACGCTGCCTGCTCAGAACACAGTACTGAAAAATGGCATACCCTGTGGTTCACCTCCATAAACAGGATCACAATGAAAAAAGGAATTACTGCTTCCTGTGTTTTATGAATTGGGGTGAATGTAGGATAATCACTGTGACCATAAGAAATAGAAAACAATGTGTGATATAGTAAGACAGGTGCTATTGAAATATTCTGTGAATGATTATCTTTTTTAAAGCCCTGTCTCTAATTCCTGAAATGTATTACATTTATGTTGCACATTGTCCTTTTTTGTGAAATGTTTAAAAATGCAATAATGCTAAATGAAACTTTTATAATATAAAGTACCTAAACATTATCAACTGGTATAACAGCTTACACTGATCCTTTACATCACATAATAGTAAAAGCTGGAGTTTTAGATGTAAATAACCTGAAAATTACAGGAAAAAAATCAGAGAAGAGGTATGAATAGCAAAGCTCAAAATTTTCTAGATAAATATTACCTTTATTGGAATGGCTAAGTTAAGCTAATTAATATATGCATCACATCACATACATATTATTTTTGTAACAAGATTTCTTAAAATCTATGCCATAAATATATACAATTTTTATTTGTCAAACAAATAAATAAAACAAAATTACTTTTGTTGGACCCAGGTAAAATATCCTCCATGTGTCTTCTCTGTTTATCCAGTAATTATTAGTTACAGCAAATATCAGGACTGAAATATTCTTCTATCAACGACAAAGAAAGAACAAAAAAATAAGTGTTTAGATTCCTCACACAGTTCATTTTACATAACAAAAAAACTCTAATTTAACAGTTAAATTTCAATCAGTCAAGATCTCTCTTTAGTAAAGCAAATCAATTCATTGATTCCATGGAATCTATTTTCTTTATTATAAAAATTAAATCTAAATTGCAACAAATTAAATGTTCTTTTTCAACCTATCCTATCTCGGTAAATTCACCCATTACTCTTTTTCTTATTGTTTCAATCGACTACCATCTTATAATATCTTTGACTGAAAATATATGTCACCTGAAGAAGATGAAGAGTGAAAAATTCACAGAACCATGTTAGCAGATGTTCAAACCTGGACTAGCCTTTATCTGGATGGGGTAGATAAAATTGGGCTATATAGACGTTCCTGCCTTCCTTTCTCTGAATTTATATTCTAACCCCTTATCTATGAGCCAAAAAGCTCCATGCAAGTCTCTGTAGCTCTCTATATTCAGGCCTGCCTTCCAGCAGATGTGGCCCCTGTTCTAAAATTGCCTTTTCCTCTCCCCTTCTTAAAAAGAACACAGGGAAAGGCAAGATCTTAAGTGAAGTTAAATATCTTACTCATAGTAAATTCTTAGGCAGTGATATATGTTAATATTTGTTGTAAACATCTGGTATTTTGAAATTATGCAATCATTCCGCCAACTAGTCTGTTAGAATTTTATTTAACCCTGAAGAGTTGATCTCCGAGATGGGGGTGCCATCCATGCTCAGCTCCCTACAGCTCTGCAGAATGCTGAGAAGAAAGGGTACAGCCCCAAGCAACAATGACTTCTCCCCTAAAGTTCCTTTTCAGCCTTTTGCCACATCCTCCCCCTATTGCTGCTTTAATGAAATGAGAAGACGTTGGAGGAACCATGAGCCACTGTTCATCAAGTAAAAGATGAGAAGCCAGACCCATAGTTAAAGATCAATCAGGCATTGACAGAACTTATCACTGTGTTGGTGCCACGCAGACAGGATCATAATTTGTGGGGCTCTGGAAATGTCTTCACGTGCTGCTGTTCACATTTTTGTTTTATTATTTTTAATTGCATTTAAATTCCATTGCTACTCTGTGGACCAAGACTGAAATATATTCAATTTATTCTTGCAAGGAATCAAATGTCCAGGGCTTGACACCTAGGTATATTTTCCATTCGCAACATTGAGTTCCATGATTTGCTATCCTACCCCAGTCAGTGTATTATACATTTTAAAGTATCTAACATAATTTTCTACCTCTATTGACTGGCTGGCTTAAGACATTAACTTCTCCCTTTTCCTCCATATTAGGAAGAGGGAAGTGTTGACTTGGAAAGACTCAGGAGGTATGCACGCCAGAAAAGCATTCCTCAATGTCTCACATTCCAAAAATATATTTCTGAATATAATCCTTTCCAATATTTACATCAATTCAAAGAGTGCATGGTTAAATAAAACCTTGTAAGAGCCTTGTAAATTTATTCTGAGACATACTGAGGCTTCGGGGCATATTACCAATATTCTCTTATTCATTATAGTGATAATTCCCTAAAGCTAAGGACTAAAAAGCCAAAAACTTTCTCTCCAGAAAATGAGTACACCATGATTCTAATACTCCACTGAGTTTTAATCCTATTTGCCCTTCTTATTGGAGTCCTCTACAATCTTAGCTGAGGCAAATAGAGCTCTGAATACTCTGTATTCAACAGAGCACATGAAGGTTAAGTCCCACAAAAAAACATACGTTTTTCTTTCATGCTGCTCTAAATAAACCAGACACCTTCCTTTACAGACTTGGGCTGTCATTAGAAATGTTCATTTCATTTAGAGGAAGGTGCATCTGACCTGCGGTTGAGCACTTGGTTGTATACGCTGAATGCATCCATCATGGGCAGAAGTATTTCCATCATCCTAACATTTGGACACCCAGAACCCAAGTGCCACTGGGTGGGTGAGATCTCAAAGATGGTTTTAGATATCCTGAGAAGACAATTAGTCTTTCTTCTTTGAGACCTTGTTGTCTATTTCCTGTCTTGATTTGGTTGACTTTTCATATAATCTGAGTCCAATTATTAGACCCAGTGTCTCAAATATGGTGCAATCCTAAAATTCGCCTTTGCCGATATGTTTTATCATGGTTTCATTCTGTAAATGCTCATCTTCTTTATATCTCCTCTCTTCTATATCTAAGTCTAGGGTATTCTTTTGCACATAATTTCCTTAGTCTGGATAGTCTCAACAGTGACTATCAATAGTCTCAACTCTACAACACACTCTAGATTAACGAAGCCTGAGTCAGGGGCATCAACTGTAGTACCAGTTCATATTCTGAGAGCTGTAGACATCTATCAATTTATTTCATCATCTTACATTTAAAATTTCCATCATAGAAAGGAAAATTAAAATCAAAATACTCTTAGGGAAATAATTGAGAGAAAAGACATTAAAACAATTGACAATTTATCTGGAAATATACATATTTGGAAAGGTAATATATTCCTGCCACATGTTCATGGATATCAATCAACATCTAAGTAAAAGTTTTATAGCTACGAGTTTCTCCTCTAAGTGTCTTTCCCAAAAATAATGTAGAATTCATCCATGGTATCTCTATTTAAAAATTAATAATTATTTTCTTCCCCAACCTCTGTTTTCACTCTCTCTTCTTTTCTACTAGTAATAAAGATTGAAATTGAGAAACCCATAAAATGAAAGTGTAGTTAGTTCTCCAGCTTCTGGAAAACAAAATTATTTTATTACATTTGTTTCAATACTTAGGGTGAGACGATTTCATCATTCGTGGTTCATATTTCTGATCCAAACTTCCTAAAATTGCATGTAAGAATGACTTCTACCTCTCTATAAACTTCTCTTGACACTCACCCTCTGCTGAAATTTCTATTAAGAGGTCTAAAATATTCATCAGAGCCTGAAAAAGTGGACTTACCTATTTCAGTAAACGTTTAAGTTGTTTTGTAAAGAATGCTCTCCTCCAACAAAATGATGGATGATGGAGTTTAAGGATCCCAGACTCCTCGGACTCAGGGGCTCAGAAATCACCTGAGACTAGTTTAGATTGAGAGAAAAACTACTGGGAGGAACTTCATAGACGCCCTCAAATTGGCTGATCCGCAGACCTACGGAAGTGTGTTAGTGGCTGACTTTGCACAGAAGGGCTGAGAGAGTTCCCTCAGGAGCTTCATGCATTAGAGTGCTAATTGTCACCACTCCCAGTTCTCCAGAGCAGAGCCTCCATGCGGCCCTTCCTGTCCCTATGGAAAGCTGTGCTCCTCCATCCCTCTCCCCTCAAAAACTCCACTGAAGCCTTAGATCACTCTAAAAAGTCACAGAAGCCAGCTTTGTGAGATTTAAGATGTTCTCCTGTAGCTTGAACTTGAGTTTTAGCCCTCAAAGCCCCTATTCCAATGAGCAGTTATGGGTCTCCATCCATACCTGGTGAACCAAGCCAATTTTTATATTTGGCACTAGGATGCCCTTACCTCTGTCTATAGATAAGAGAATCGTGCTTCAACCCCCAGAGTTTTGTGCAAAGAGTTTCCCTGACCATTGCAAGTGTGGATAGAAAACTAAGTATATTTTCATGGTGTTAAGTTCCAATACTAACAGCATCGCATTATTTTAAGATTTTAATTAAGAGCTAAGACTATCAATAAGACCTACATAAAGAAAGTCTTACGATCTACAGGGTGAAAGAAAAGAAAGCAAAAGTTTATCCAAAATCCTTGATATAGTTTGAATGTATGTCCCCGCCAATTCCCATGTTGACTTGTCATCCCTAATTTTGGAGGTGAGGCCTTGTGGGAGGCGTTTGGATCATGCGAGTGGATCCCTCATCAATGGCTTGAGTCATCCCCCTTGGTGTTAAGTGAGGTCTCTCTCTGAGTTCACACAGGATCTGGTCATTTAAAAGTGTGGGGGCGGGCCGGGCACGGTGGCTCACGCCTATAATCCCAGTACTTTGGGGAGGCCGAGGCGGGGCGAACACGAGGTCAGGAGATCCAGACCATCCTGAATAACACAGTGAAACCTCGTCTCTACTAAAAATACAAAAAATTAGCCGGGCGTGGTGGCGGGCGCCTGTAGTCTCAGCTACTCAGAGGCCGGGGCAGGAAAATGGCGTGAACACGGGAGGTGGAGCTTGCAGTGAGCTGAGATCGCGCCACTGCACTCCAGCCTGGGCAACAGAGAGAGACTCCGTCTCAAAAAAATAAATAAATATAAATAAAATAAAATAAAAGTGTGGGGGCCGGGCGCGGTGGCTCACGCCTGTAATCCTAGCACTTTGGGAGGCCAGGCCGAGGCGGGCAGATTGCCTGACCTCAGGAGTTCGGGACCAGACTGGGCAACACGGTGAAACCCTGTCTCTGCTAAAATACAAAAGGAATTAGCTGGGCGTGGCAGCGTGCACCTGTAATCCCAGCTACTCGGGAGGCAGAGGCCGGAGAACTGCTTGAACCCGGGAGGCGGATGTTGCAGTGAGCTGAGATCGCGCCACTGCACTGTACCCTGGGCGACAGAGCGAGACTCCGTCTCTCCAAAAAAAAAAAAAAAAAAAAAAAAAAAAACTGTGAGCACCTCCCCACCCGCAATCTCTCTCTCTTGCTTCTCCTTTTTCCATGCGATGTGCCTTCTCCCACTTTGCCTTCTACCATGAGTAAAAGCTCCCTGGGGATTCCCTGGAAGCCGAATAGATGCTGGTGCCATGTTTGTAAAGCCTGCAGAACCATGAGCCAATTAAACCTATTTTCTCTATAAATTACCCTCTCTCAGGTGTTTCTTTGTAGCAATGCAAGAACAGCCTAATACAATCCTTAACATGGAATGGTTAACTTTCTATATCTCTTTAAATTTTTAATACCTAGGAAGAGGTTTGATGCAATTTTGAAAGAACAGAGTCATGTTACCATTCTGACATATTATTTATGCCTCAAGCACCCCCCCCCCTTTTTTTTTACTGGGTTTGTTTAAATGAGTTTTTTTTTTTTTTTTTTTTTTTCAGACAGAGTCTCACTCTGTCGCCCAGGCTGGAGTACAGTGGTGTGATCACAGCTCACCACAGCCTCAATCTCCCAGGCTCAGGTGATTCTCCCACCTCAGCCTCCCAAGTAGCTAGAACTACAGGCATGCACCACCAAATCCAGCCAATTTTTGTATTTTTCATACAGATGGTGTTTTGCCATGTTTCCCAGGCTTGTTTTGAACTCCTAAGCTCAGCAATCCACCTGCCTAGGTCTCCCAAAGTGCTGGGATTACAGGTGTGAGCCACTGTGCCTGGCCTTCAAGCACCTTTTAAGTGAATTATTAATACATTAATCATTCAGCTACCCAGTCAAATGCCTGGGAATTCCTCAGCACCACCATCTACCTGTGCACTCATTGTACAACTATCATCATCTCAAAACTCACTCATGCTTTTGCTTAACTACTCCCCCGCGTGTTGATGAATTCTATCATCCACGTGCCAACTCATCTATTTCCCTGATATCCTTTACTTAGTTACTAAATCTTCTATACTTACCCACTGTAACATCACTACTTCATTCCATCAGACTATCATAGCTTCTGATATTATAGCACTGGATGACTTTGACAAAGGTTCTGTGATATTCCAGGCAATAAAGAGAAAAAGTAAATACTCTTCTCATCCTTCTCCCCAGTTTCTAAATACCCACATAGAATTGAAATGGTTGATAGTACATTTTCTTTGAGTCATACTGGAAAAATTCTATGGCTGTAAGAATTTAGCTGAAAATTAGCACACATTTACCCACTTATGCTTTATCTGTTAAAACAGACCTTAAAAATAACTGAGTTTCTTCTAGTCTAGAGTCTATATGGATTATAGAAAGCTAGAAAGAACATTGCTTCCATTCTAAATAGGAAGAAGCCAGATAATCTACAAAGTCATAACTATTTCTGAATTCATTAGAGAGCTAAAGTTGCAGGGAAACCTACAAGCATGAAAACTCAGGAAAGATAGATACCTCCAAAGAGACACAGGAAATGAGCTCTGCCTTATCTAGGCCAGAGCATGGGAGAAAAGTGAGGCCAACATACGAACCGGGAAGAACTGCTTTGCTAAAATGCTAAAGGCTAAGTGAGGAGTACTATGAGTGTAGAGAGGGAGGAACCACAAATAGAAAAGGAGTTCATACTTATACTCAAGATTTTCTCCTCAGACTTTAAACAGTCTTAACAAGAATGTTTGGAGGAGG
Source organism: Homo sapiens (assembly GCF_000001405.40). Taxonomy (NCBI): domain Eukaryota; kingdom Metazoa; phylum Chordata; class Mammalia; order Primates; family Hominidae; genus Homo; species Homo sapiens. The sequence continues at coordinate 492,987 of NW_018654714.1, read as the reverse complement.
GTGGAAAACTAGAAAAAGCTTCCTTCATCGTGCAGGTCTAGGGAAAGACAGCAACGTCTACTATAGGAGGCAGAAAACACTCTCCCTCCTACCAAGTCTGCCTTCCTTGGTGAACAAAACACTGAGCCACTGGAGAAAGAGCAAAAACTCTGTTCTTTCCTAGAGAAAGATGAAGACTCATTGCTGAGGGAAGAAAACTGAAAAAAGTTGCTAGCCCTGGAGTTTCTGTGGGGCAGAAAACCATTCTAGGTTCAGAGCATGAGCTGTCTCCTAAGGCTGAAGGTGAGACAAGATCACCGAGAAAGCCTTAACTCTATCGCACAAGGACAAAAGTTGTTTCTAAGATTCAGATAGAATGAGAAAAATGGAGAATAAACCCTCCCCTTCCATCACCAGGCTAGTAAAAATCAAAGAACAAATAACAGAAGTGTATTATGGGGAGAGAGGCAGCGCATGGAAGGACATACTCTCTGATATGTAGTCTCATAGGCAGAGCTTAAAACTGAGGGTGGAACAGCAATGTTGCAAAATCTCTCGATAATTGAATATCCCACCCTAGGTAAAATTTGTTACAAAAATTTAGATTTGTTGGTGCACTCACTGAGGATAACCACGCAACAAAACTCAAACCCTGCTTAACTCATGACTGCATTGATGCCCACACCCCACACACACAGCACTACAGAATAAACAGAAAAGACATGCCCATTGCAAAACATTATACTATCTGTCTCAGAGTCTACTGTCCTACACACACAGTGTTGCGGTTTCAACCAAAATAAATATCTGAGAAATGGAAAAAAAAAACAAACAAAACACTGTTACTGGAAAAAGCAATGGACAGAAACAGAATCAGACACAGACTTTTAAAAAGGAACTATACACAGAGGTTTAAAATAACTCTCATTAATAAATTGAAGGATCTAGTGGAAAAGACAAACACTCTGCATAAAGGCAGGAGGAATTTCAGCAAATAATTAAACACTATTCAAAAGAATCAAATGAAAATGCTATACATGAAGAACACAGTAACAGAAATGAAGAATGCTTATAAGAGACTCAACAGAGCTGAGAAACAACCAATGAGTCTAAAGATGCATTAATAAAAATTGGCAAAACAGTAGCACAAAGAGAAAAAAACAACAAAAATAGAAAGAGAAGAGAGCAGGTGAGGACTTTGTGACAACATCAAACAATCTAACATGGAAGCAACTGAAAAGTCCTAGAAAAATTTTTTTTTTAATATTTAAAGAGATAATGGCTAAGAAAAATGAGTAAAGAAATTGAAGCACAACTTCAAGAAGCTCAAAAATTAAAACTAAAAACAAATAAACCAACACCTAGATACATAACAGTCAAACTGCCAAAAATCAAAAAATAAAGTGGATACTCTGAATGCAGGCTGAGAAAAAAAGACACATCATATCTAGAAGAACAAAGATTCAAATCAACGCTGACTTCTTGTTAGAAACTATGCTGGCCAGAGGACAATAGAGTTACATTTTTCAAACCCTGAGGCAGGAAGAAGAAATCTATCACCTAATAGTTCTGTATGTAGAAAAAGAAAACATTTTTGAAAACAAAGGGGAAATAAATTCGTCTACAGACAAACAAAAACTGAATAAATACATTTCCAGCAGACCTAAATGAGAAGTTTCAATGACAGGTCTCTATGCAAAAGAAATATTATAGCAGACAGAAAGTTGGATATGTAAACACACACACACACACACACACACACACACACACACACAGAACCCTGGAAATGATAAAATTGAAGATTAGCATAAAATTTATTTTGAAAATGTTTAGCACACTACAAGATAATTGTCTGATGCAAAAATGATAGCAATGTACTTTGTGTTCATTGCTTAATGTAAATGTAAAATATCTGACAATAATAGCATACAAATGTAAGGCAGCAAGTAGTAGTATATTATTTGAAGGTTATATGCTACCCATGAAAGGATATCATATCATTTAAGTTATATTCAAATTAATTAAAGTGTATATTGTAAGCTATGGAGTAACCACTAAAAAACGTGAGTGGTATAAAGATAAGCTAATAGCAATGATAAAATGGAATAATAAACAATGTGCACTTGATATGAAAATCTAGTGAGACAGGAAGAAAAAGTGAAATGGGGAAAATGAAACAACATGATCCTAAATCACATATGGATCGAAGAAGAAATTTTGAAAGAAATTAAAAATACATTTCACTAAATGAAAATGAAAACACAACTTGTTAAAATTTGTGAAATGCGGTGAAAGTAGTGCTCAAGAGGAATTTACAGCATGGAATGCATACATTAGAAAAGAAGAAAACTTCCAAATCAATGATCTAGGCTTCCACCCTAGAAAATTAGGAAAAGAGCAAATTAAATTCAAACTCAGCAGAGGAAAACAAATAATTAAAATTTGAGCAGAAATCAATGAAATTGAAAATAACAAATCAAAATAAAACTGGAATAAAACCAAAAGCCAGTCTTTAAAAATATCAATAATTTTGCTAAGTGTTTAGCCAGGCTAATTAAGAAAAAAAAAGGAGGACAAAAACTGCTAATACCAGGGATGAAAAAGAAGACAGGGACATTAAAAGGATAGTCAAGGAATACTATCATAAGCAACTCTATGCCCACGTATTTGATAACCTAGATCAATGAATTTCTTAAAAGACAGAATCTGCTAAAACTCACAGAAGAAGAAATAAAATATGAATAGGCCTATGTCTATTAATAAATTGAATCAGTAATCAATGATCTTTTAAAACAGAAAGCACCATGCCTAGTTGGGTTTGCTGGTGAATACTACCAAACATTTAAGGAAGAAAATATACCAATTCTCTACAATTTGCTTTCAGAAGATACAAGCACAGGGACTCCTCTTAACTCATTCTATAAGGCTAGCATTACCCAAATACAAAGACAAAAAGAGACAAAGGCATTATAAGAAAACTGGAGAACAATATCTCTTATGAACATTGATGCAAAAATCCTCAACAAAATATTAACGAACTGAATCCAGCTATGTATAAAAAGAATTATACAATATGACCAAGTAGGATTTATCCCAGTATGCAAGGCTGGCTCAACATTTAAAAATCAGCTAATCCAATCTATCACATCTGCAGGCTTAAAAAACATTACATCATCATACAAATAGATGCAGAATAAAAACTGACAAAATTCAACACCTATTCATGATTTTAAAAAACTCTCAGTAAACTAGGAATAGAAGGGAACCATACGTTTTATGCGGAGGTAAAAGATCCGCAAGAGCCAACACAATATTGAAGAAGAATAATAAAGTTGGAAGACTGACATTGCCTGATATGGATTTACTACAAAGATTCCCTAGATTTGAAAAGAATATCTACCAAAACCTACAAGTAACTTCATATTCAATGGTAAGAAAATGGAAGCTTTCTCATGAAGATTAGGTACGAGACAAGGAAGTCCCCTCTCACCACTGCTTTTTAACATCATACCAAAAATCCTGGTCAACGCATGCAATAAGACAATAAAAGGAAACAAAATGTATACAGATTGAGAATGAAGAAATAAAATTGTCTGCACTCACAAATGACATAATTATCTATGCAGAAAATCTGAAAGAATAAAAAACAACTCCTAGAACTAAGTGACTAAAGGCTAATATACAAAGTCAATTTCTTTTCTATAGATCAGCAATGTTCAAGTGGAATGGCAATTAAAAACACAATTTTATTACATTTACACCTAGAAAAGAAATATGTACAAATCTAACAAAATATGTACATGATATATTTGAAGAAAACAAAACTCTGATGAAAGAAACCAAAGAAGAATTAAATAAATGGAGAGAAATTCCATGCTTAGAGATAGGAAGACTCAATATTGTCAAGATATTAGTTCTTCTCAAATTGACCCATAGATTTAATATAATTGCAAACAATTCCCAGCAAGCTAATTTGTGAATATTGACAAACTAATTCCAAAGTTTTTATGGAGCGGTAAAAGACCCGGAAGAGCCAAAACAATATTGAAGAAGAATAATAAAGTTGGAAGGCTGACACTGCCTGGTATGGATTTACTATAAAGCTACAGTAATCAGAAAATGACGGTATTGATGAAAGAATAGACAAATAGGTCAATAGACTAGAACTGAGAGTCCAAAAGTTGACCCACATGCATATAGTCAACTGATCTTTGACAAAGGAATAAAGGGAATACAGTGGAGAAAAGGCAGTGTTTTCAACAAGTGGTGCTGGAAGAACTGGACACCCACACGCCAAAAAAAAAAAAAAAAAAAAAGGGAATCCATGCAAAGAGCTTACACTCTTTACAATAATTAACTCAAAATGAATCATAGTCCTAAATGTGAAACAAAACAAAAATATAAAACTTCTGGCAGATAACATAGGAGAAATTCTAGACGACCTTGAGTTTGGCAATGACTCTTTAGATACAAGACGAAAGCCGAAGGAATGATCCATGAAAGACATAACTAATAAGCTGGACTTAATAAAATTAAAATGTTGTGTTCTGTGAAATAAGCTGTCAAGAGAATGAGAAGACAAGACACAGACTGGGATAAAATATTTGCCAGCAGCATTTAAAGGGTCATTTTAGAAAACGACAAATTATTTCCTTGTAAAATTAACTGCAGTTGTAGAATGAGACACTTGAGTGAAAAACACTCTCTTTCTCATGCATAGTGATAGTTATTTCTACTATAAAATAACTAAGAACAATAAAAAATGTGAAAATGTCTAGAATAATCCATACCTAAAATAGACCCTAATTATTACTTTAACACTCAAGAAAACTGATTAGTTTCTGCTCTTATATTGGATAAAAAAGGAAAGGAAATCTAGTTCCTTTCTAAGACAGAATATGTAATAAAATTATAAAACTCACGAAATTTACTCTTAGTTTTTTATATAATGTACCTACAGAGTAAAAAGTTAAGGTCCTTATGATTAAGACTAAGTCATATAAGCTTATACAGCCTATATTAATTTTTCAAATACTTTTATTTAGTTTGGAAAATAATGCGTTCATACTTTGAAGTTCTTATACTGAATAAAATAATAACATTTTTTCCCCAGGTCTGCTATTTTCTGTGTATCTGACTCAGTTACAGACTAGGAAGTTAGGTTTTAACTAACCTAAAGAAAGCACCCAAGAAATAAATTATTTGAACTTCTTTTTACTGCCTTGTGTTATTACAAAATATGTGAAACATAATATGAGCATACCTGAAAATATCTGTGCATTTATGTTGTAATTCATGTTAATGTCCTCATTTGAATATAGACAAAATATACTTAATTCATAAATTGTGAAAAAAAAGAAAATATTTGCAAAAGACATATCTGATATAGGACTGTAATCCAAAATCTACAAAGAACTCTCAAAACTCAAAAATAAGAAAATAAACAACTTGATTACATAATGGGACAAAGACCTTAACAGTTGACTTACCAAAGGAGAGATACAGGTGGCAAATAAGCATATGAAAAGAAGCTCCACATTATATATCATAAGGGAAATGCAAATTAAAACAACCACAAGATATCACTACGCACCTATTAGAATGGTCAAAATCCAGAACACTGACAATATCAAATGCTGATAAAGATGTAGTTCAAGGGAAGACTCATTCAGCGCTGGTGCGAACGCTAAATGTTACCATTTTGAAGGACACTTTGGCAGTTTCTTACAAAACTAACCATGCTTGTTATGAACTGAATATTGGTGTTCACCCAAAATTCGTATGTTGATGCCACAGTGTGATGGTATTGGGAGGTGAGACCATTGGGAGTTAATTAGGTCAGAGGGTGGAGCCCTCATGATGGGATTACTGTTTCGTTTTTCTTTTTTTCCTTGAGACGGAGTCTTGTTCTTGTCGATCAGGCTGGAGTGCAATGATCACTAGTCCTTCAAAAAAATTCAAATTAAAACCACAATGAGATGTTACTATGAATCTATTAGAATGTCTAACTTCAAAAATTGTATTAAATTTCATTCCTAACAAGAGCGTACAAGGGTCTTTTATCTCTACGCCCTCACCAACATGTTGCCTGTAGTATAATTTGCAGTTGGGTAGCTTGATGCCCCCAGCTTTGTTCTTTTGCTTAGGATTGCCTTGGCTATTCAGTCTCTTTTTTGGCTCCATATGAATTTTAAAATAGTGTTTTCTAGTTTTGTGAGGAATGTCATTGGTAGTTTGATAGGAATAGCATTGAATCTGTAAATTGCTTTGGGCAGCATAGCCATTTTGATATTGATCCTTCCTATCCATGAGCCTGGGATATTTTTCCATTTGTTTGTGTGTTCTCTGATTTCCTTGAGCATGGTTTTGTAATTCTCATTGTAGAGATCTTTTACCTCCCTGATTAGCTGTATTCCTAGGTATTTTATTCTTTTTGTGGCAATTTAATTTGGCTTTCAGTTTGGCTGTTGTTGGTGTATAGGAATGCTGGTGATTTTTGTACATTGATTTTGTATCTTGCAACTTTGCTAAAGTGGTTTATCAGCTGGAGGAGCTTTGGGTCCCAGACTGTGTGGTTTCCTGGATATAGAATCATGTTGTCTGCAGGGATAGTTTGACATCTATGCAGCCATAAAAAAGAATGAGATCATGTCTTTTTCAGGAACATGGATGGAGCTGGAGGCTATTATCCTTAGCAAACTAACTCAGGAACAGAAAAGCAAATACTGCACATTCTCACTTATAAGTGGGAGCTAAATGATAAGAACTTACGAACACAAAGAAGGAAACAACAGACACTGGAGTCTCCTTGAGAGGAGAGGACGGGAGGAGGAAGAGGAGCAGAAAAGATAACTATTGGGTACTGGGGCTTAATACCTGGGTGATGAAATAATATGTACAACAAACCCCCATGACATGTGTTTACCTATGTAACAAACTTTCACATGTACCACCAAACCTAAAATAAAAGTTTTGAAAAAAATCTTTAAAAAGTTGAACTCATAGAAGTAGAGAGTATAATGATGGTTACCAGAGGTTGTGGTGGGGGTAGGGTACAGAGGGAAACAAGGAGATATTGGTGAAAGGGTAAAAAGTTTTCAATGGACAGAAGGAATACATTTTGAGATCTATTGCGCAGCATAATTACTATAATTAATAATGATGTATTGCATATTTCAAAATTGCTAAGAGCATAAATTTTAAGTGTTATCATCACAAAAAATAAGTGTATGAGGGGATGGATATGTTAATTACCTTGATCTAATTACTTCACAATATATGCATATATCAAAACATCACATTGTATCTCATAAATATATACAAGTATTGTCAATTAGAAATAAAATAATATAATAAATAACTACCAATAGTAAATGTGGAAAATGATGTGGAATAACTAATATATGATAGTATGGATGCAAATGCAAAGGGTACAATCACATTTAAAAATAGTTCAGCACCTTCTTATGAACATAGACATGCTCTTGGCATATAGCCTAGCCATACGACTCCTATGGGAGATTTCATCTTACCCAATTGAAATAAACACGTATGTTTACCTAAAAATCTGTACTCGAATGTTTACAATAGTTTTTGTCACAATTATAAAATGTAGAAACAATGCAAATGTACTTCAAAATAGCAAATTGACATATTGTGCATGCATACAATAGAATATTAGTCAGCAATAAAAAAGAATGATCTACTGTAACTTGTAACATCATGAGTGCAACTTAATGCATTATGCAAGGAAAAAAGTCAGAGTAAAGAAGCTACATGCTATACTATTTCATGTATATGATATTTTGCATAGGCAAGCATATAAAGACAGAAATCTAATTAGTGATCACCAGTGGGTGATGTCCAAGAAAATAAATTGAGCACAAAGGAACACAAAGGTATGTTTGGGGAAATGAAACTCTTATATAACCTGATTGTGGTGATGTTTATGCAATTACATGCATTTTTCAAAACTTACAGAACTGAGAATAAAAAAGGGTGAATTTCACAGTATATAAATTATACCTTAATAAAGAATGCAATATAAAAAAGTATTCCTTATTATTTATTAATAGTAGCATAGCATTTAGGCTCAAAAAAGTCAAATGCAAATTACGGACTTTGCAGTGTTGGTTCAACATCAGTTTATACCATAAAGACTTGAAGCTTTTTGATTGAGCATTCTTGGTACTGGTTATTCACTTTAAAAGTTGAAAATCTAAAGCCATCTAAACACATTTATAGTACTTACAAAGTCCAGGTTATAAGAAATAGATAACATTGTGAGTTACTCTAAGACAAAAAGCATTTGTAATTTATAAGAAGTACAGTGCTAAATAGATATCCTAAGGATATTTCTGAAATGATTATATTAAGAAAAATCTTTGTGTGTTCTTCAGTAGGCTAATTGCTGAAATAAGCAATTCCAAAATAACCATCAATTAGCACAATAAAACTTTCTTTCTCATTTACACAAAATTTTTATGTAGGTGACTCTGGTGAAGTGGTTCTTTTGGGAAACTCTCGTCCTGTCAGTGACTCGGGACCCACACCTTCTCCACCAGTGACTCTTCTACTGCCCAGGCCCACCCTGTTCTAGATTCCCGAGATTGAGATGATTTCAGAGCAAGACAATAAGCACCAGAGGCTGGCGCTCAGGAGGTTTCAACCGGCCAGGCCTGGAGGTGGCATATTTTCTGTGTATGCATGCTCCAGTGGTTAGAACTTCGTCCCGTGGGCCGGGCGCGGTGGTTCGCGCCTGTAATCCCAGCACTTTGGGAGGCCGAGGTGGGTGGATCACGAGGTCAGGAGATCGAGACCACAGTGAAACCCCGTCTCTACTAAAAATACAAAAAAAAAAAAAAAAATTAGCCAGGCGCGGTGGCGGGCGCCTGTAGTCCCAGCTACTCAGGAGGCTGAGGCAGGAGAATGGCGTGAACCCGGGAGGCGGAGCTTGCAGTGAGCCGAGGTCGCGCCACTGCACTCCAGCCTGGGCGACAGAGTGAGACTCCGTTTCAAAAAAAAAAAAAACTTTGTCCCGTGGCCATAGCTGCCTTCGGAAATAGGCTCATATTTAGTCTAATTCTGTACCAAGGAGAAGAAAACAATGAGTCCAATTAGCAACTAGCCAGTCCCTGCCACAGAATTAGACACTGATCGGATCAGGTCACACTTGAAGTCACGTGTTTATTTCAGACCTCTACAATTTAAGAGGCGTATTTAGAATTTTCAAGCCCCTTAGAGGAAAGCCCAGAATAGTGAGAAGTCTAGGATTCAGGCTAATGAATACGCATTTGGAAACATTTAGCCTGATAATTTAATTCTCTGCATAACCTTAGTTTTAGAAAAATTACACCCTTACATACACCTATGATTTCTCACTATTAAGATTTGACTGATAGTCATTCTGCCACTTATAAAATTCTTCTCTCCTAAATCTCCTTATATAAAATTATCTAACCAGTTCTAGACACATCTATGCTTTCTTGATCACTAGAGCAGAAGGGATCCATTCCCTTCTTGAAAGTTTTTTGGCTGTATCTTTATTCATTTCATAACTCAGAAGAAAAGGACCGAGAGGCAGAAACTATAGTGACCCACCCAGCCTTCCAGCCCAGCCATGGAGGCCCCAGACCAGTCCATCTCTCAGGAAAGTCTGTGGAACCCAACCTACTTCCCTCCACAGGGAGGGATAAGGCCTGGGTAGTGTCTGTTCCATCTTGACACCATACACTTCACACTTCTTAACTCCCTGTCTACAGGAGTCATCTTATGAGGACTCAGCAGGAGCACATGGTCTTAAGCCTCAACAGACCAGACCACAGAATCTGATCCAGATTGGAGATCCAGTTTCCTTCTAACTTGGTTTGCTCTTGATCCAAGAAACAAGTAGTGCAAAGAATAGGTTGAAATATAGGCAGGGGACACGTTGTATTTCATTAAAGCTCATCATAAGTCAATGATCCTTGAAGCCCACACAGAGTGAGTCATTCATGTCAGTATCTTCAACATTACACCGTATACAGCAATAACTTTTCTAATTAGTGAACTAGGTCATCAAGGCCTAATGTCTGGGTAAGCAGCCTTGAAATTTTTACTATAATGATAATGATGCAATTTCCTCTTTTATCTGCACCTATGCTTCAAAACTCAGTGATCTCCACATTTTTCCATTTGATATTTACCGTGAACTGACCTGTCTATGCTCACCCAGCCTGCTGAGCTCAGCCCTGCAGGCCTAAGACGACTGTCACACCCTTAGTTCAGATTCCTCTAGTGTCTAAATGGCATTAATGGAGCAGCCCACTAGATTGACTTCTTGCTTCCAATTTTTTATTCCTCTATCTCATTTGCCAGTGATATTTCAGAAATGTAAAATTTATCAAGCCATTCTTCTGCTTAAAAATCATTACTGACTTCTGGCCGGGCGCAGTGGCTCACGCCTGTAATCCCAGCACTTTGGGAGGCCTAGGCAGGTGGATCACGAGGTCAGGAGATCGAGACCATCCTGGCTAACACTGTGAAATCCCATCTCTACTAAAAATACAAAAAATTAGCTTGGCGTGGTGGCAGGCAACTGCAGTCCCAGCTACTAGGGAGGCTGAGGCAGGAGAATGGCGTGAACCCAGGAGGCGGAGGTTCCAGTGAGCCGAGATCGCGCCACTGCACTCTAGCCTGGGAGACACAGCAAAAGTCTGTCAAAAAAAAAAATCATTACTGACTTCCCATTGCTATTAGGATATAGTTGAAAGATAATGTGGCATTCAGTGCCCGCCATGAACCAATGCATACCTACCCATCCACTTCATCCTCACTACTTCTCACTACTTCCTCACTCTTCTCTGCCCTACAAGTGCAGCTTCCAGATATTTCTGGATACTCAAGTCTCGCCCTCTGCACTTTGGCTCAGGTTTTTCATTTCCTCCAGTTCCTTTTCATCTGGATAACTTGCTCTCACTTTCCTGGTCTCAATCTAGACATTTTATGTTGTTTTCTTTTAACAGGAAGACTTTTGTGACACCCCTGATGGGCTTACTCTATCTGTAATATTTACAACATTACTTTATAATTGCTTCATTATCCATCATCCCTGCTATGCAACCCAGAATTGTATCATATTCACTACAGAGTCTCCAGAACCATTCATTGTCACTGACACGTACTAGACACTCCATTGATAATGCTTAAGTTAACACCAATAGAAATTTTAGTTTGCTGCCATTGACATTTTTGGGGATGCTTGCCTACCTTGCAAAATTTAAGATAGAATAGTAATTAAGGTAAAACTGATATTTCAAAAGGGCTTTGGATTATATGAACCTTCATAAATACCTGAGGATCTGTGACAACGTGGTCACCAATGGAAGAACAGAAAATTAACTTACTGAAAGAAGAGACACGACTTAGGTTACTTCAAGCAAGTGAGATGATCAGCTACTATCATAATTTTTCTCCTCTTTCCCCTTCTTTACCTTATATATTTGTTTCTTCTTCTTTTGTATTATTTATAAATTTTAGCAGCAGTGAGGCCCACTCTCGAGCTCAGATGACTAGGTTTAGAAAGTTGACTAGTGCCCTACTGTATGTGTGAGAAGAAATAAGAAAAGTCCTTAATATGGAAGCTTGAAGGTAACATTTGCACAGGTGAGGCATCTATCCTGACTCCTCAAAATTCATGTTAAAATTGTCTTCTCTTTCATTGGTATTGGCTGAAGAGTGTCATTTCTTAGATTAACTATGTCTTTGATGTTTTATAAATTATCTCATAATTTATTGCTTATTTTGTTTCTAAACATTAAAAAATGGAGTTTGTGAATTTTCCTGAGATTGGACAATTTTAATATGTTAAATGATACCTCTTATACAGTAAAATTTCTCTCAAACTGAGTGCTGTGAGTAATGCCTGAAACTTAAATTTTCCTTGGCTAATAATAGTCTTCATTACAAACAACCATTTTTTAACCCTATCAGGGCAAAATAAGAACTTTCATTGATATTTCTTCACTGAATTACTTCCAGCACTCAGAGAAAGACATTTTGTTCACATTTCGAAGGTCCTGCACAAAATCATTTTAATAAGCCTTGACAAACAACATCCTTCTCGGAATGTTGATTCATAATTATTGTATGTGGCTACATAAACAACCAATTATTTTCAGTGAGTCTTCAAATGTGAAAATGCATTTTGTTTTCAATGCAAACACTACAACCTTTACAAAATGTCAATAAATAAGAACCACTGGTCCAAGGTAAGATGTATGAATAGGTCTACGGTTATAAATAATGTGACAAACCAAAACAGTAAGTAGTACTTTTTTTCAGTTTTTATCAGAACATAAGAGTGGAGATTGAGAAATTGTGGAAGGTTCTGTTACAGCAGTAGCTAACTCCACTAATCATACTGCTGGGATATAAAATTATCCCCACATCCCACACCCCATCCAACTCAACCACTCAGCCTCCTACATAACATCCCCAGTACATGTTACATCATCTCCTTCCCGGTTGCCAGAGCAACATAGTTTATCCCTGCCATATCTGAGCTGGGTGGAGAAAAATGAGGCAAAGCTTCTTCTTAAAGTAATGTTCATGAGTCAAGTTCCCAGCTTGGATGTTAACCCAGAGAATTTCTCTAATAGTTTATGCCAGGCCCCCTTCACCTCTTTATTCCTTAGACTATAAATCACAGGGTTCAGCAGAGGCATAACAATGGCATAGAAGACAGAGATCAGCTTCTCTTGAAGGACTGAGGGACCAGAGTGGGGCTGGATGTAAGTGAAAATCGTTGTGCCGTAGCACAGGGCAACCACCGTGAGGTGAGAGGCACACGTGTGGAAGGCTTTCTTTCTTCCTTCTCTGGACTGGATCTTTAGGATGGTGGAGATGATCCGGATGTAGGACAACAGAACCAGGCAGAAAGGTGTCATCAGAAGAACAATGCTAGACACCATGATGGCAGCCTCATTGGAGGAGGTGTCCACACAAGCCAGCCTGACCACAGCTAGGAGTTCACAGGATATGTGATCAATAAACTTGTTAGTGCACATGGGCAGCTGAAAGGTGATAGCAGTCTGCACAAGAGAGTTGATGGAGCCACTGACCCAGGATGTGATGGCCAACCTAGCACACAGCCCTCCATGCATGATGGCCGAGTATCGCAGGCGGTCAGACACAGCCACATGGCGGTCATAGGCCATCACTGCCAGGAGAACAAACTCAATCCCACCCAAGGCCAGGGAGAAAAATAACTGGGCTGCACAGCTCTGGAATGGGATGGCTTTATGTTCTGCAAGAAAATGTGCCAGCAGCTGGGGGACTACGCTTGTGGCATAGGAGACATCGACAAGGGAGAGGTTGGTGAGAAAGAAATACATGGGAGTGTGGAGTCGGCTGTCCAGTCTGATCAGAAGGACAATGAGACAGTTCCCCAGCACTGTCATGAGGTATGTGACCAAGAACAGGGAAAACAGGGATATCTGAGTGCACCAGTCACTGGATAAGCCAAGGAGAATAAATTCTCTCACCCACGTCTGGTTATCTATTTCCATTTAAAAATGTGAGGAATATTAATCTGTAGAAAGAGTCAGAAAAAAACAGAAGCTGTTGAATCAAAGAATCATAAGAATAACTTCTTAGGAATGCATACTGTATACGACATTCCAGCCTTGGCCAAATATTTTAGATAATTCACAAGGCCAAGATGACAGGCTTGTTTCCAACATACACTATATTTACTTTGCATTAGAGAGACAGTAGTGCTTTCATAAGGACATGATGTGGACTCAAATAAGCCAGTTAAAGCCTGTAGATAATGCAGTGCAATTTTTGGAAGCTTTACCTCTTTACTAGCTTACCTCAGTATCCAGGGCAGGGAGTTTGTTTTCTGATGATGTCAGCAAAAAGGAAGAATAGAAAGTCCCAGGCTCTACTCTTCTCCACAGAACATTCAACTAGCAACTATCCCCAGACCAGAATATCTCTTTTAAAACTCCACTACTTGGACACTAACATGAGACAACCACAAGGTACGTGGAATGAAAATTGAATTAGAAGGCTAAGAAGCATAGTTTCACTTCAACCCTGCCACCTTGCCTCCTGCCAAAGTCAACACAACACCAGACAAAGAGGGTTTTCCTGGGCCCATGGTTTTTACAGGAGGAAAGGAAAACTAGAGGCAGTCATTCAGCATCTCTAGTTTTCCAAGATGCTTCTCAGAAATCCCACTCTGGGCTTATCTCATGGAGAACACTGGGGGTAACAGCATAGCTAGACTACCTGGTGTCAAGTAAAAACAAAGAAAGGAGGCAGAGGTCTTAGTGACCAGCACACAGATCATGGCATTACCTCTGTGTTCTTGCTAGCTGTGGTGCCCAATCTGAGACACTAGTCAACTTCATAGTTCATTTACAAAGCTAAGCTGGTCATCTTCAGAAGCATGGTGGGAAGTACAACCTAGCTTGAGGCCTTAGATAGCTAGTCCCCATGTCCAGTCTCAGAGCCCACACCAGTGACCTCTGCCAAGACAAGGAGATACACACCTCCACCCATTTCAGAAACACACATGAGGTAGACCTGCTTAACCCAGGAAGTCAATCCATGGCTCTACTCAGCTAAAAGGCCCCATCAAGGACATCTACATGCCTTTCAGAGAAGCATGAGGGCTAGAACTGTTTGACCTGGGAAGTCAAACTCAATTCAGCCAAAAGCCCATCTTAAAGGGAAGAAACCCTACAAGGAAGCTCCACCTTAACAGGGAAGCAACCATCAATTGTGTTTTTCTGAGTGTAGCCTCTGGCCTCAATCATTCTAAGCAGCAACTTCTCCTAACTTTGGAGTTCAGCCTACAGCCCTGCCCAACTGCAAATCCCAGAAAGCATAATTTTCCAGCCAGGGAATAAATTCTGTGACTAGTCTGACCAGAAGCCATTGCAGTACGCAGTCAGTAGCTCTGTGTGATAACAGAGCTCAGCCAGTGGTCTTGCCAGACAGCAGGGCCCAGTCAATAGCCCCAGCCAATATCAGAGCAAAGACAGCATCCCAGGCAGGTAGAAAATCCACAGTTAGCTTTGCTTGCCCAGGGCCATTACCAGCTGGCCCTTGAAGAATTACAGGCTACACTAAATAGTATAGGTCTAGCCCTGCCAAAGAACACCTGTAAAGGCCAGAAGGAGGGGGTATCTCTTCAAATGAAAAGATAACAATGCAAAGACACAAGGATTACAAAGCACTGGGGAGTTATGACACCTCCAAAAGAAACTAATAAAGGGCTAATAATGGACCCTAAAGAAATGGAGATTTATGGGGTGACAAAAAATTCAGAATAATCCTCTTAAGTTAAAAAAAAGTACCAATAGAAATTTTAAAAAATTTGGAAAAAAATACACAAACAAGATGAGGAGTTTTACAAATAAATAGAAACAATAAAAAAGAACCAAATAGAAATCCTAGAGATGAAGAATAAAAAGACTGGATTGAAAAATTCAATTAAAAGTTTCAATGGCAGACTCAAGCAGAAGAAATATCAGTGAGCTGAAAGAACATTTGAAATTATCCAGTCAGAGGGGCAAACAGACAAAAGAATGAAAAAGAACGAAGAAAGCCTGTAGGAATTATGGGAGACCAATCCTTTATATAATAGGAGTTGCAGAAGGAGGAGAAGGAGAAAAAGGGGCAAAAACCATATTTAAAGAAATAATGGCTGAAAAATTCCCTAATCTGGAGACAGAAACCAACATCCAGGCACAAGAAGTTCAAAGATCTCCAATCAAATTCAACCCAAAAAGGAGTTCAGCAAAACACATAATAATCAAACTATTGAAACTCAAAGACAAAAAGAAAAGGATTCTAAGAGGATCAAGAGATAAGAAACACATCACATAAAAAGGAGTTTCAATACAACTCTTAGCCGATTTCTCAGCAGAAATCCTGCAGGCCAGGAAAGATTGGGATGATATAGTCAAAATGCTGAAAGTAAAAAACTTGCCAATCAAAAATACTTTACCCAGAAATACCTGCATTTCAGAAATAAAAAAGAAATAAAAACTTTCCCAGACAAACAAAGGCTAAGGGAGCTCATCACCACTAGGTCTGCCTTATAAGAATTATTAAAGAAAGTTATTCAATCTGAAGCAAAATATTACTAATTAATAACATATAACTTACAAAAATAGAAAATTCAGTAATATAAGTAAAACAGAGCCGTACTCAGAATACTCTAGGACTGTAATGATGGTGTATAAAGCAATTATATCCCTAGTACAAGTATTAAAAGACAAAATTACTAATAACAACTACAGCTAAAATAAGTTACTGAAAGATACACATTAAAAGCAATGGTAAATTCTGGGCCGGGCATAGTGGCTGACATCTGTAATCCTAACACTTTGGGAGGCTGAGGCATGTGGATCATTTGAGGGTCAGGAGTTTGAGACCAGCCTGGCCAACATGGGGAAACCCTGTCTCTACTAAAAATACAAAAATTAGCTGGGCATGGTGGCAGGCACCTGTAAACCCAGCTACTTGGAAGGCTGGCACAGGAGGAGAATTGCTTGAACCCAGGAGGCAGAGGTTGCAGTGAGCTGAGATCATACCATTGTACTCCAGCCTGGATGACAAGAGCGAAACATGGTATCAAAAAAAAAAAAGTAATGGTAAATTTCAATATCAAAAACATAAAATGTGGCTGGGGGACTAAAAGTGTAAAGTTGTTGGATGCAATCAAAGTTAAGTGGTTATCAGCTTGAAATAGGCTGTTTTAACTGTAAGATATTTTATGTAAGCATCTTGGTAACCACAAAGCAAAAATATTTAGTCAAAGCACAAAACAAAAATAGAATTGATTCAAAACATACCACTACAGAAAATCATCAAACCACAAAGGAAGACAGCAAGAGAGAGAGGAAGAAAAAAAAAAAAAGTAGAACCAGAAAAAAACAAAAACCAGAAAACAATTAACAAATGGTAGTAGTAAGTCATACCTATCAATAATTACTTCAAATGAAAATGGACTAAATTCTCTAATAAAAAAGACATAGAGTAGCTGAATGGATTAAAAAAAAAAAAGAAGACTCAACTATACGCTGCCTACAAGAGACTCTGCTCACTTTTAAGGATACACATGGACTGAAAGGGAAGAGATGAGAAAAGATAATCCACACAAATAGAAAACAAAATACAGCGAGGGTAGCTATACATATATGAGAAGAACAGATTTTAAGTCAAAACTATAAAAAAAAGAAGGCCAGGTGCGGTGGCTCACGCCTGTAATCCCAGCACTTTGGGAGGCTGAGGCGGGTGGATCACCTGAGATCAGGAGCTCAAGACGAGCCTGGGCAACATGGTGAAACCCCATCTCTACTAAAAATACAAACATTAGCTGGGCACAGTGGCATGTGCCTGTGATCCCAGCTACTCAGGAGGCTGAAGCAGGAAAATCACTTGAGCCTGGGAGGCGGAGATTGCAGTGAGCCCAGATTGCGCCATTGCACTCCAGCCTTGGTGACAGCGCGAGACTCCATCTCAAAAAAAAAAAAAGACAAAGAAAAGCATTATATAATGATAAAAGGATCAATTCATCAAGAAGATATAAATATTATAAATATATATGCAGCCAACATTGGAGCACTTAAATAAATAAAACAAATATTAAAGGATCTGAAGTGAGAGATAGACGGCAACACAATAACAGTAGGGGACTTCAATACACTAGGTTCAACAATGGAAGAATCATTTAGACAGAAAATTAATGAGGAAACATTAGACATGAAAAACACTTTAGACCAAATAGACCTAACAAACATATACAGAGCATTCCATCCAACAGCAGCAGAATACAGCTTCTTTTCAAATGCGCACTGAACATCCTTCTGTACAGTATCCAGGCGAGGAAGGATGGTAGGTAAAATGGTAAACAATGAATATAAACATGGTTCAAATATCTACCTTGCATATATATCTACCCTGCATATATATCTACCCTGCATATATCTACTACATCAAACATGATGAAATGTATAAATAAATTACCAAAAAAGATTCTGAAGAGACAGAGGTATAGTAACAACGGAAAGATAGAGTATTAGAGAATCTGGATGTGAATCTTGTTTCTTATGACTTACCAGGTGTGTGATTTGGGTTATAAACTTAATTTTTTATATTCAAAATGGGATAATATTACATAACTCACTAGGATATGTAAGCTCAAATATAGATAACTCATGGAGAAACCTCTTCATAAACTGAGCCTCAGAGCCAAACAATCCACAACCCTTTCTGCTTCTTGAGACCTGGAACAAGCTACTTAGCCTTTATGCACTTCATATTTCTTTATCTGTAAAATATGGATGAATATTGGTTAATTGAAAGGTATGTTGGTGAAAGGTATGTTAGGTAGTAGTACTCTAGCAGTACAGGTATTAGTGGTAATATGACCTCTACTCTGGGGGAGACAAAGTAACAAACAAGTTTTCCCCTTACATCCCCTCAAGTTCAGACTTTTTGAAAAAGGAAGCAAAACTGTTAATATATTTAAAGTCTTGGAGGTAACTTATACTATTTGAAGTTCCTGGGAACTTTGGGTCTTACTGAGGATTTAGGCTCTTTCAATCTTTGGCAAAAGAGGAAGGGGAGTGGTAAATATATCTTGTTATTTTTATTTTTCTATTGTTCTGTTTATTCCTACTCACTCTTTTTATTTTTCTAAGAAAGCCTTTGCATATGGTCTCAGAAAAAAGATGGTAGGAAAATGGCTGCTTAAGCTTTCTAGCATAAAAGAAAAAACACATCTGGAAACCTTTGTTGACTATATAGCAGATCTGCCTCCACAGCAGGTATTTCATTTTCAATTAATTTGGCAAACAACTATGAAGTGCCATTTTTACTAGATGCTGAGATTTCAAGGTGAATATTACATTTCCCTGTCCTCAAAGAGCTGACCTGGCAAGTGGAGTGAAAGACACAGAACAAATTGTTATCACAAAATTTGTTCCTCTGCTGCACTATGACAGCTGCCTGGAGAACATGCAAGCCCATGACTCATATGCTCTTCTCACCCACTCTGCACATCTCTCTACTACAGCCTTTGTCTCACTATGACTGATTGACAGCATCACATCCTAGAAAAAGCATGAGCCTCAAAGCCAAACAATCCACATCCCTTTCTGCTTCTTGAGACCTGGAACAAGCTACTTAGCCTTTACGCACTTCATATTTCTTCATCTGTAAAATATGGATAAATATTGGTTAATTGAAAGATATGTTGGTGAAATCTAATGCACTGAAGATCTAAAGTTGCTACACTAATGACTGAATCACTTTAGTGCTCATCATTTACTGATGATAATTGGTTGACCTTTCATTTCATGCCCTTGATAACTTTCATAGCATATTCTTTCATTATTCCCCCTCCTAGCATCCTCTGGTTTATCTTGCTCTTGATCAGCTCCCACTTGCTCATTATAAAAACTATACAGTTCTTTTGGGGAGAAGACCTTTTGCTACATAATTATCATTTTAATTCTCTCTTTTCTTTCACATCCAGCATTCCCAAAGGATTGGTATCCACTTGTTGGGTTTATTTCCTCATAACATTCATTCTTTAGGCCCTGAAAATCTAATTTCCACCTTCACTAATCTATAGAAATTGCACTCTTAGAGGTCACTTGTAGCTTTCTAAAAATCATATCCAGAGACTTTTATTCTACCTTCATTGTTTGTCTTTTAACACATTTAACTACTTGTTTCTTAAAACTCTCAACTCTGTGAAACTCTTCTGTCCTGATTTTATTCCAAACTTATTTTTTTTCTGTATTCCTGGATAATTATTTCAAATTTTTCTTATTCCATCGCTGTAAGTATTTTCTAAGTTTCTGTGCTCAGAACTTGCTCTCTCCTTTCTATAGCTTTTCTTTGAAGGACTTATCTTAACTATAATAATTCTTATCAACTTTATATGGCCCAATCTCAATTCTATATTTATCTCCTATACTTCTCTCCAAAGGTTCAGTTGCCTCCTTCAACAGCTTAATGAATGTATTCTAAATATTTCACCATAGACTCAACTCACATCTCTACAAGCACCTGACTCCCTTATTTCTATCAATGGAACTAAAATTCTTCCACTCTCCCAATGTATCATGTTTAATTTTTCTCTTTCTTGCCCCTCCTTGGAATATATCAGCTTCTTGTATTCTTGTGTTACATACCTCCCATCTATCCTTAGTTTTCATTCACACTGCTAATGCCTTAACACATGCCCACATGCCTCATCACTTCCCATCTGATGAAATACAATCACCTGCTTATGAGTCTCACTGATTTGCCCTGGGCCCACTCCAAACCACCTTACACTGTAAACCAAACTGATTATCCTAAAATATATTCATACCTAAATTATAATCATGTACAAACATATCTTACGATGTCTGACTACAGGGCTAAGTATATTCTGGACAGAGGAGTGTCCAAATTCTTGATAATAGGTCCTATCCTATCTTTTATTTTATTAGTTGTAGCATTTATTATCATGATGTGTTTAGAGCAAAGTTTTCACTAAAATATCCCTCTAATGCTAAATACCATTCACAAGTATGTCAGCTAATTATTTTTAATCCATCAGACTATATTTAGCATTGCCTTGATTTTAAAATAATTTAAACCTAAAATAACTGATATCCAAATATTCCTGGTTTTTAGCCATAGAGCCCTTCTTAGATTCATGGCAGATAAAAAAAATAGAAATAGTGTCTGCATTTATAAAGATAAATGGAGGAGGAAATGTGTTAGATGATTTTGACACACCTGCAGTTAACACCATCTCCTCATTATCTTGGACTCAGCTTTCAGCTAAATAGAGCTGGATTCCTAATCTGTCTTCAGAATGAAGAATGAAATACTTGCTAGATGGTGTTCTGCATATCCAAACACTTGGTGTCAGAAGTCTAAAGCCTGGTCTACTCCAGTGTTTCAGGGGATCTGAAACTATCCCAAAACCTGTTTCTCATTGATATCAACATCAGTGAAAGACAACATCAAAAAAGATAGATTTTTGAGAACATTTGATCCATTTTTCTCTGTGCAAAGAATTCTGGTTTGGTTACCTGACTTTTCACACATCTGAGTCCAATTATCTAGACCCAGTTTCTCAAATATGTGCATCTCTGACATTCACCTTTGGTAACATAGTTTATTATGGTCTTATTGTGTAAATTTTCACCTTTATATTTCTCATTCCCCTAGCCTTAAGGGGGATAAGAAACAGAGCCTTGAATCATATTTTCTATTTCTCCTTTTTTTGTTTTTTTTTTTTTTTTTTTTTTTTTTTGAGATAGAGTCTTGCTCTGTTGCGCGGGCTGGAGTGCAGTGGCACGATCTCGGCTCACTGCAACCTCCACCTCCCAGGTTCAAGTGATTCTCCTGCCTTGGCCTCCAGAGTAGTTGGGACTATAGTATAGGGCAAAGGATGCAGCTTTTGTTCAAAAGTCAGTTTTGAATGTGAGCACAGATAAGAGTCAGCTCTGTTGAGATCTTCCTCCTCTACAAGCCTGTTTTTGTGCTCTTTTCTCAGTACTCATCCCAACTCCCGCTGTTTTATCTTTTTGAAGACACCCCATTTTCCTTTAATAATAAAATCCAATTTTACATCCGCTGGGTCATATTATCCTCATACTGGACACACCTCAAACCATACCTCTCTATATATGTTTTGAGATTTTGTTGTCCATTCAAAAATAATGTGTGCTGTCTGTTCAGAACATAGTATTGAAAAATGACATACCTCTGAGGTTCATCTTCTTAGACATGAGCACCAAGAAAAAAAGACTTCCTCATGCCTGTTTTATGAATTGTAGTGGATATAGAGTAATTTCTTTGGTCATAACAAATAGAACACAATAAGTGATAGAATAAGAAAGTTGCCATTAAAATATTCTGCTACAAATTATCTCTTTTTTGCCATGACTAATGCTTGAAATTCCAATATTAGTAATTTATTATTTTATATTGAAATTGTCTTTCTTGTGAATTTTTAGATGTAATTATTCTAAATGGAATTTTTAAAATATGAATTACCTGGCCTTATTGTGACCCTTTAAAATAAGTCATGCAAGAGCAGAAAACTGAGACCCTTACAAATGGGTAGAGAGGAGGAATGACATTTACATTGTAGGGAAAATTAGACATGAGGTATAGATAGCAAAGACCAAACCTCATTGTTAAAATATTACTTTTGTTTGCCCTAGTTAAAAGTATCATCATGTACTGTCTGTTATTAGCCTTTATTAATGGTTACAGTAAACAGAGACATGATGTCTTCTTCCTATGACAGAGGATACAAGCAAAAAACAAATTTTTAGATTCCTAATATATAAAACATTTTATACAACAATACAGATAATTAAAAGTTTCTATTTTAGTTAGTTATGGTTTTTTGTGTAAATCAAGAGAATCTAATTATTTAGCATTTAACATATTTGACCTTCCGTATTGGGGATCTAAATAATCTTGGCTAGGACAAGTGAAAGCCTAAATACAGAAACAGAGCAAAAAAGGGCAAATGTTTCTTTCTACTAGTCAAAACAACTCAAAGTCATACCTTTACGAAGTTGAGCTGTCAATAGAAATGGCACCTTCATTTAGAGAAAGATTTCTCTGACTCATGTTTGAAGGGTTGACTGATGTAAACACAGTGTGCGTCCACCATGAGCAGGAATATTTGCATTATCCTAATATTTGGAAAAAGAGAACCCCAGGACCCTTTGGATGATGAATATCTCAAAGATAGGTTTGACATCCTGGAAGAACAATTTTTTTTCCTCTTTGGGATCTTGTTATCCTCTTCCAGTCTGGTTTGGTTATCTGACTTTTCACATATCGGAGTCCAATTATTTAGATCCTGCTTCTAAAATACGTGCAACCCTGATGTTCACTTTTAATAGCATATTTTACTATGGTCTTATTGTGTAAACGTTCACCTTCTTTATATCTCTTGCCACCTGTAGCTAAGAATAGTGCATTCTTTTGCGGTATAAAGTATAATTCTTTCCGTTAGCAAGTCTTCATAGTGCAATCCGTACAGCCAATTCTAGGGAAACCAACCCTAGAATAAGATTTAGGAGACCTAAATTCTAGCTCTAGGTCACTCTCTGAGTGCCAAAGTTCTTTGAATAAACTGTTAATCAACTTACATTTCCATTTTTCTGTTATTAAAAGGAAAATCATAATTTTGTGTAGATGAAACCCTTAGGGAAATAAATTGAAACAGGAAGCTTTAAAGCAATTGGCAATTTATCTTACTTGGAAATGTACTATACTAATATTCCTACCACCTGCTAATCAATATCAATACCTAAATAAAAATTTTATACTTCTGGGATTCTCTAAGTATTATTCTCTCTCTAGGTTAGTACTAAATATCAAAATTGAGAAGTCTGTTGAAAATAAAATGTACCCAAGTCTCAAGCTTCTGCAAAGCAGTTATTTTACATTTGCTATAATACTTAGGATGAGAGGATTTTTACCAGCCATGTCCCATACTCCTAATCCAAAGTCCCTAAGAAGTCAAATTATTTCTATTTCATTCCCTTCTAAACCTACAATCCCACATCCTGTGGAAGCCTCTCTAACATTAATCAGTGCCTGACAAAACAGACATGCCTACTTCAGTCCAGGTTTAAGTTGGCTTTTAGCCTTCCTCCAACAAAGTGATAGACCATGTAGATTAGATATCCCAAATTCCTTGGGCTCCTGAACTCATAAATCACTGAGGATTAATTGTGATTATGAGAAACACTGCTGGGAGGAAGTTGACAAGAGCTCTGAAAACAGCTAGAACACAGGCCTAACAAAGCTTGGCAGCAGCTCCATTGACAATGTAGAGTGGACGGATTCCCCTTAGGAGTCTTAGAATGTTAATTGTTGTCACCACTCCCATTTCTCAAGGGCAGGGCCTCTCTTCTGCCCTTCTTCTCCCTGTGGAAAGCTGTTTTCCTCCATTCCTCTCTCCTCTAACATCTTCACTGAAGTCTTAGGTCATTCCAAAAAGTCAGAGAAGCTAGTACATTTCTTATGGTACAATTTAAAGTCCAATTATAGTAGCATCACATAGACATATTGAAAACTGCAAATCTGCATAATGTTGGTAAAAGGAGTATTACTGGCTATTGCAAAAATAAAATAAAAAAGAATCAAGATCATCCAAAATCCTTAATTTTGTGAAAGTATGAAATTTCTACACCTCTTCAAATTTTATTGTCAATTAAACTTTGTATTTTCAGATCATTGTGGATTCATGCATTATTTTACGAAATAATACAGAAGTATCCCTTGTGCCCTTTATCCAATTTTCATCAATGGTAACATCTTGCAAAGCTATACTAAAATATCATAACCAAGATATTGGCATTGATATATTAAAGATACAGAACATTTCCATCACCACAAGAAAACCTAATGCTGATATTCTTTCAGAGCCACACCCAACCCAATTCTGTCCTGCCCCATCCTCTCCATAACCTCTGGTAGTCACTATCAGTTCTCCATATCTATAATTTTGGCATTTTAAGAATGATCTATAAATGAAATCATGCAGTATATCCCTTTTGGGGTTGGCTTTTTTCACTCAGCATAATTTCATGAAGATTCATTTAGGTTTTCATGTATGTCAATACTACATTTCTTTTTATTGCTAAGAAATACTCTGTTGTACATACCTTTTGTTTAACCATACTCATGTTGAAGGACATCTGGATTATTTCTGGTTTCAGGCTATAATTAATAAAGCTGCCACAAATGTTCATGTACAGCTTTTTGTGTGAACATTGTGTTCATTTCATTGGGATAAATGCTCAGGGATACAACTGCTGGTAGTTGCTTGATTAGGTCTTGGGGTTTTTTGTTTGTTGTTTCAGGAAAGTGCCAAGCCATTTTCCAGAGTGGTTGCATTGTTTTACATTTCTCCCAGAAATGGATGAATGATCCAGTTTTTCTTCATCCTCATCAACATTTGGAATTGTCAGCCATTTTTACTCTAGTCTTTCTGATGGTTTTTCTTTTCATTTTCCTAACAGTTAATAATGTTGAAAATCATATGTGCTTATTTGCCTTCTGTATATCTTACTCAGTAAAATATCTCTTTGTGTCTTTTGTCCAAGTTCTATCTGGATTGTTTGCTTTTCTACTGTTGAATATTGGGAGTTTTTATGTACTCTAGAAAGTAGTACTTTGTTGGACATGGAGTTTGCAAATATATTCTCCCAGCCTATAATTTAATTTTTTGTCTTCTTAATAGAGTCTTTCTCAGAGAAGAAGTTTTTAATCTTGGTGAAGTATAATTTAATTTTTTGTCTTCTTAATAGAGTCTTTCTCAGAGAAGAGGTTTTTAATCTTGGTGAAGTCCAATTTATCATTTTTCATTTTATGGATCTTGCATTTTGTCTCAAGTCTAAGAATTCTGCCTATTCTACATGTCAAAGTGTTTCTCCTATTTTTTTTGAAAAAAAATGTATAGTTTTGCATTTTACATTTAAGTATATGACCCATTTGGGTTAACTTTTTTATAAGTTGTAAGGTCAATGGAGTTGCTTTTATTTATTTATCTAGTTATTTTTGGCCTATGGATGGCCAATTTCTCCAGCATCATTTGTCAAAAAGGCTATATTTCCTCCACTGAATTGCTTTTGCACCTTTGTCAAAAGTCGGTAGATTGTTTTTGTGTGGGTTTATTCCTGCTTTTCTATAGTGTTCCAGTTATCTATGTGTCTATTCCTTTGCCATTCCAATGTTGACTTGATCACTGTAAATCTATAATAAATATTAAAATTGCATAGACTAATTCCTCCCACTTTATTTTTCTTTTGCAAAGTTGTTATTAGCTCTTCTACATTCTTTGCTATTTTATATAAATTGTAAAATACTCTTGTCTATATTTATGAAAAGAAATCTTGCTGAAACTTTGTTTTTTCTTTTTTTATTTTGTTTTGTTATTTTTTTGTTCTTACTGAAACTTTGATATGTTAAACGTATATATTGATTTGTGGAGAACTAAAAGTTTTACTATTTTGAGTTTTCTAATTTGTGAATATAGTATGTCTTTCTAGTTACTTAAATCCTTACTAAAACTTTATTTCATTAAGAATATGTAGTTTTCTACATGTTTCTGTAATTCCTGTACATAATTTGTTAGATTTCTACCTAATTATTTTGTTTTTGAGCTCTTATAAAGGGTACTATACTTTGAATTCCAGTGTCAGCTTATTTACTACTAGCATGTAGAAATACAAGATTTTTGTATATTTATCTTGTATCCTCTAACTTTGCTTAACCCACTTATTAATTCTAGAAACTTTTTAGAGATTTCTTAGGATTTTCTGTGTACACAATTATGTTTCCATCTGCAAATACAGACTGTTTTATTTCATATTTTCAAATCTATATGTTTTTATTTTCTTTCTTACTTTATTACATGGATAGAATGTTTAGCACTATGTTGAACTGAGAGAAGATATCATCATCTTGTTCCTGATCTTGGGAAAGAGCACTCATTTACCACTGAGTAGAGCATTAGCTGTAGACTTTTTGTTGACACGTTCATCAAGCTAAGAAGTTCCCTCCTATTCCCATTATTCTGAGGGATTTTTAATCAGAAATATGTATTGAACTTTGTCGAATGCTTTTTCTGCAAGAATTGATATAATCATGTAATTTTTCTTTTCTAGACTGTTAATATGGTGAATTACATTGATTTATTTTCAAACATTGAATAAGTCTTACATTGCTGAAATAAATCTTGCCTTGATCATGCTGTATAACTTTTTATGCATTTATTAATTCTATTTGCAAGTATTTTGTTAAGAATTTTTGCATCTATATTCTAGAAAGATATTGGTTTGCAGAGTAATACTAGCTTCATAAATAAAATTGGAAGTGTTCCTCTACTATTTCTGGTAAACACTAGGTAGAATTAATGTTACTTCTTCTTTAAACATTGGTAGAAATTTCCACTAAGATCATATGAGCCTGTGGAGTTCTTCAGGAAGTTGTTATTGTTTTTTAATTACTACATCATCTGAAATGAGATGAGATCAGGCATATTTTGGGAAGTAAAGACACTATAAAGCAACTACGCAATCAAGTCTACAAAACAACTAGCTAACAATATGATGACAGGATCAAAATCTCACATAGCAATGTTAACTTTGAAAGTAAGCCATCTAAACATTCCACTTAAAGGCATGGTGTAGTAAACTGGATAAAAAGACAAGACCCAACTATCTGTTGTCTTTAAGAGACCCATCTCACATGTAACAACACGGACAAGCTCAAAGTAAAAGGATGGGGAAAGATCTATCTCGCAATCAGAAAACAGAAAAGAACAGGGATCACTAGTCTTATAACAGATAAAACAGATTTTAAATAAACTATAGTCAAAATGGACAAAGAATGACATTATATAATGATAATGGATTCAATACAACAAGAAGACAACTATTATATAGAAATATATACATCTATTATATATTCTAAATCTATCTATACATATGCATATATAGATGCACCCAACATTGGAAACACCCACCTTCATAAACGATTTTCTCTAGACTGATTAGAAGAGTTATGAACACAAAGAGGGAAACAACAGACACTGGGGTCTACTTGAGGGTAGGAGGAGGGAGAGGAGCAGAAAAGATAATTATTGGGTACTAGGCTTAATAGCTGAGTGATGAAATAATATATACAACAAACCCTCATGACATATGATTACCTAGCTAACAAATCTTCATATGTACCCTCAAACCTAAAATAAAGTTACAAAAGAAAGACTTAGACAGCCACACAATAATAGACTTCAACATCTGATTGACAGCATTAGACAGATCATCAAGGCAGAAAATTAACAAAGAAATTCTGGACGTAAACTCAACACTAGACCAAATGGACCTAACAGACATCTACCAAATATTCCACTCAACAACCACATTCTTCTCGTCTGCACATAGAATATACTCTAATATCAACAACAAGTTTGGCTGTAAAGCAAGTCTCTATAAATTAAAAAAAAAATGGAAATCATACTAAGCACACTCTCAGACCACAGGGCAATAAAAACAGAAATTACCACCTAGAAGATATCTCAAAACCACACATTCCTTGGAAATTAAACAACTTGCTTCTGAGGGACTTTCGGATAAGCATCAAAATTAAAGATAAAACAAAAAAATTCTTTGAAATAAATGAAAATAGAGACACAAGATAGTAAAATCAGAGCAGAATTGAATGAAATCGAGACACCAAAATCCATACAAAGATTGATAAAACCAAAAGTTTGTCCTTTGAGAGAATGATATTGATAAACCACTAGCTAGATTAACAAAGAAAAAAACAGAGATCCAAATAAACACAACTAGAAGTAACAAAGATGACATTATAACTAATCCCACAGAAATACAAAAGATTATCAGAGACTGTAATGAACACCTCTAAGCACACAAATTAGAAAATCTAGAGAAAATAGATGCATCCCTGCAAACACCCAATCTCTCAGGATTGAACCAGAAGAAATTGAAAACCTGAACAGACCAATAATGAGTTCAGAAATCAGTAATAAAATATCTACCAACAACAACAAAAGAAGCCCTGGACCAGATGGATTCACAACCATAATCTAACAGATGTACACAGAAGAACTGATACCAATCTTATTGAAATTATTTCAAACCATTGAGGAAGAACAACTTCTCCCTAACTCATTCTATGAAGCCAGCATTATCCTGATACCAAAATCTGGTAGAGACACAATGAAAAGAAAAAACTTCAGGCCAATATCCCTGATGAACATAGATATAAACATCCTCAAGAAAATACTAGCAAATTGAATCCAGCAGCCTATCAAAAAGTTAATTCACCATGATCAAGTAGGCTTTATTCCTGGTATGCAAGATTGGTTCATCATATTCAAATCAATAAATGTAATTCACCATATAAACAGAATAAAAACAAAAATCATATGAGCATCTCAATAGATGCAGAAAAAGCCTTCAATAAAATTAAACATCGCTTCATGATAAAAACTTGCAACAAACTAAGCATCAAAAGAACATACCTGAAAATAATAAGAGCCATCTATGGCAAACCAGCTCCCAACGTTATACTAAATGGGCAAACGCTGGAAGCAATGCCCTTGGTAACTGGAACAAGAAAGGATGCCCACTGTCACCACTCCTATTGAATATACTATTGGAAGTCTTAGCCAGAGCAATTAGGCAAGAGAAAGAAATAGAAAGCATCTAAATAGGAAAAAAGAAGTCAAACTGTCTTTCTTCACTGACAATATGATTCTATACCTAGGAAACCCTAAAGACACCACCAAAAGGCTCTTGGAACTGATAAACAACTTTAGCAAAGTTTCAGGATACATAATAAATGTAAAAAAAATCAATTGCATTTCTATACACCAATGATGTTCTAGCTGAGAGCCAAATCAAGAATGCAATCCCATTTACAATAGCCACAAAAAGAATAAAATACCTAGGAATAGAGCTAACTTAGGAGGTGAAAGACCTTTACAAGGAGAACTACAAAACATTGTTGAAAAAAATCAGAGACAACACAAATAAATACAGAAACATCCCATGCTCATGGATTGGAAGAAAAAGTATCATTAATATGACCATACTGCCCAAAGCAACTTACAGATTCAATGCTATTACTATCAAATTGCCAAATCATTTCACAGAATTAAAAAAAAAACTATTCTAAATTTATATGGAACCAAAAAAGAGCCCAAAGAGCCAAAACAATCCTAAGCAAAAAGAACAAACCAGAGGTATCACATTACCTGACTCCAAACTATACTATGAGGCTATAGTAACCAAAAAAGCATGGTACTGGTACAAAAACAAACACGTAGAAGAAGGGAACAGAATAGAGAACCCAAAAATAGAGCCACACACCTATAAATATCTGATCTTCAACAGAGTCAACAAAAATAAGCAATTTGGAAAATACTCCTTTCTTCAATAAATGGTGCTAGGATAACTGGCTATCCATATGCAGAAGAATGAAACTGGATCCCTACCCATCCCCATAAGCAAAAATTAACTCAAAATGGATTAAAGACTTAATGTAAGACCTCAAACCATAAAAATCCTGGAAGAAAACTTAGGAAATACCCTTCTCAATATCGACCTTGGCAAAGAATTTATGATTA
Source organism: Homo sapiens (assembly GCF_000001405.40). Taxonomy (NCBI): domain Eukaryota; kingdom Metazoa; phylum Chordata; class Mammalia; order Primates; family Hominidae; genus Homo; species Homo sapiens. The sequence continues at coordinate 462,809 of NW_018654714.1, read as the reverse complement.
AGTCATCAAAAGCAATTGCAACAAAAACAAAAATTGACAAGTGGGACCTAATTAAACTAAAGAGCTTCTGCACAGCAAAAGAAACTATTAACAGAGTAAACGGACAACACACAGAATGGGAGAAAATATTCACAAACTATGCATCCAACAGAGGTCTAATATACTGAACAACCTATAAGGAACTTAAATAAACCAACAAGAAAAAGTAAATAATCGCATTAAAAAGTGGACAAAGAACGTAACGGATACTTCTCAAAAGAAGACATATAAGCAACTCACAGACATATAAAAAATACTCATCATCACTAATGATCAGAGAAATGCAAATCAAGACCACCATGAGATACCATATCATACAAGTCAGAATGGCTTTTGTTAAAAAGTCCAAAAATCACAGATGTTGTTGAGGCTGTTGAGAAAAGGGGTCACTTACACACTGTTGGAAAGCAAATTAGTCCAGTCATTGGGGAGGGCAGTTTGGAGATTTCTCAAACAACTAAGAGTTGCACTACCATTCTACCTAGCAATCCCATTACTGGGTATACACTCAAAGGAAAATAAATTGTTCTACCAAAAAGATACCTGCACTAATATGTTCATCACAGCACTATCCACAGTAGCAAAGACATGGAGTCTATCCAGGTGCCCATGAGCAGTGGACTGAATAAAGAAAATGTGGTGTATGGAATACTATGCAGCCATAAAAAGAACAAAATCACGTACTCTGCAGCAATATGGATGTAGCTGGAGGCCACTATCCTAATTGAACTAACACAGAAATAGAAAACTAAATACCACATGTTCTCACTTATAAGTGGGAGATAAACATTGGGTACACATAGACACAGACACAAAAATGGGAACAATAGATGCTGAAGGTTCCAAAACATGACAGGAAAGGAGGGGGGCAAGTGTTAAAAACTACCTACCAGGTATTACTTTTACTACTTAGTTGACAGAATCATTAGAAGCCCAAACCTTAGCATCAATATACCCATGAAACAAACCTGCACATGTATCCCTAATTTCAACATTTTTAAAATCCAGTAATAAAATAATAATAAACAAATCTAAAAACCAATTTTCAAAATCTTGGCTCTATCCCCTACTAACAATTTCGCATTAAGGAAGTTTCTTAACCTATTTGTGCCTCAGGAATAAAAGTGCCTTCCCCAAAGGGCGGCACTCAGTGCTAAATGAGTTAACACGTCGGAAGTGCTTCCAAGCACTCCTAGTAAGAACTGAAAACTCAAAATTTTCCCTATATTGTTGAGAATTTTTTTAAAGTAATTAGTCTAATGCTTAAGGGTCCACAAATTTCATAAGGTAATCCATTATCCAAGTATAATAACTTATTGAAGAATGAATATGACTCCAACTACAAAACAATATTTTGTGAGGTTGCTTTGTTGTATATGCTCTCGCTGAGTGGTTCTCGATTGGGGCAAATGCCCAGCTGTGGACATTTGGCGGTGTCTGGAGAAATTTCCGGTTGTCTAATGAATAGAGGCCAGGGATGCTGCTAAACCCTCTACATTGCACAGGACAGTCCCCCACAACACAGTACTGTATGACTCAAAATGCCAATAGTGCCAGGGTTGAGAAACTGCTCTCATCTGTGACCAGCATATGGTTCTGTTGCCTCCAGAGCCAGAAGAGTAGTCAGATCCAGGTTCCAAAGGGTATATTTTTCACTGTTAACACCTGTTGTATCAAAAATTACTCAAATGCATCATTTTTAAAATTAGGAATATACTAAAATCCTTTGTTCGCCTTTATACAATGCAGAAAATAGAAAGACAAATCAAGATATTTTTGATTAACCAAAAAACGACTATTTATACATGTTCTAAAATTACACATATTAAGTAATGTTATCCATAGCGACCAATTATCATAAAGGCCTATGGAGATTTAAAGAGAAGTCAGTCTTTGAAAGCCAAATGTCCATTGCTTCTCAGCCTTTTGGCTAAGATCAAGTGAAAGAAAATGTCCCCAGAGGGCTTGTTTTACAGGTAACCTTCAAAGATGTCTTCATGCCTATTGGAAAATCCGATTTTTATTCTCAAATATTTTCTGGTGCTCGATTTTAAAAAACAAATTTCTTCTTAACGGCTTTCTTGGTTAGAATTTCATCTTATTTTGCCCTTGTATCAATAGCTCCTTCCTTCCTCCTATATGTCCAAATATCTTTCATAAGCAACTACTAAGTAGGAGTGCCTGTAGTCTCAAGCTGGCCCACAGGAATTTAATTTATTAGCACTGGCTGGTAAAATGCTATCCTAAAAACTTAAGGCTGGGCTGGGCGCCATGGCTCATGCCTGTAATCCCAGCACTTTGAAAGGCCGAGGCGAATGGATCACGAGGTCAAGAGTTGAAGACCAGCCTGGCCAAGATGGTGAAATCCCGTGTCTACTAAAAATACCAAAAAATCAGCCAGGTGTGGTGGTGGCTGCCTGTAATCCCAGCTACTCGGGAGGCTGAGGCAGGAGAATTGCTTGAACCTGGGAGGCAGAGGTTGCAGTGTGCCGAGATTGTGCCACTGCGCTCCAGCCTAGGTGACAGAGCAAGACTCCATCTCAAAAATTAAAAAGAATTAAAAAAAAAACAAGGCTATTAAATAAAAAAGAGAAAAATAGAAGTCTAATAGATTGACTGTGAGGTACATGATATTCAGTTTCCACATACTTAATGCCCACTCTAACATTCCTTCTTCAGAATGAAGATTCGGATAACCCCTTGGGTGAATAATCCAAACAAGCTAAGGAGCTGGGTGAGGGCAAAGGGATTATGGAATGGGTGGAGCAGAAAAGTCACAAACACTGTGACCACGTGGCCAGTCACAGAAATGAGGATATAGCGTCTTCACAAATTTTTCTCCTTGATGTGTCACATGTATATTGGTATGTTTTATTAATTCTTCATTCATCTCCTGTCCCTTACTATTTTATTTGGGTTTGTTCATAGCAGCACATTTTTCAGATTGGTCCACAGGTTATAGAATATCAAGGCAGGATTTTGACATTCCAGAGGAGGCCTGGTATTTGTTGAAAACATCCAGTCTCGGAGATGGGTGAAACTCTGACATCATCTGAGAAGACGGCTAGTGTGTTCCAACTGTGCACAGTGTCAGATGAGAACGTTTTAAGTGGGAGGCATTGTTAACATGAGAAGAAAGAAGTGTATGTATGTTGGAGGAGCCAAAGATGTGAAATGTAAACATCTGTCATGATGTTGTTTTTCTGTCCAGCGTCTTCTTCCTTTGATGCTTGGGGTATCCTCTCTTAGGAGAGGCTAAAATATTCTCAGCATCTTCTGCAGTAGGGGCACAGGTTTGTGACCCGGTCTCTATTACTCAGGTGTTTTTGTGCCAGTCAAGGACTAGTGATACAAAAAGGGAGGAACTGCCCAGAATTAAATGTGGTGAGACTGACACTAGAGGCAGTAGCAAGTCCAGTTTCCTGAATAACTAGTGTTAACAATTCTAGGATTATCCGGTGTACCATGGGTATCAGCAGCACACACTACCCTGTCTGTGCCTCCCCCCCAAAAAAACTGCATCAATGCCTTCATAGAATCACTTCTGTAGAATGATTTTTTAAATGTTTTTCTTGACGGTAGTCAACTCCAAGCATTATTCTCAGAGATTACGTGAGCTATTAATACTCCTTAATAAATGTGTTTTCTGCTAAAACTAGCCAAAGTTTTCATCTGTTGCTTGCAACTATAAATACTGGATGATGATGATAATGATGATGATGATATATGGAAACTCGGTAAAGGCCACCGCCACAACACTCGGCTAATTTTTGAATTTCTGGTGGAGACGGGGTTTCATCATGATCTTTTAAAAACACCACACTTTCTTAATTACTGTAGCCTTATAGTAAGGCTTAGATGCAAATAGTGCAAATCCTCTGAATTTGTAATTCTTTTTCAAGAGAGTTTTGGCTGTTATACACCATTATAAAATACTTGAGACCAGAAAATAACTACCTTCAAGGGTTAAAAGGAACAAAACCCAGCGCTACAATGGGCCAGTACCAATGCTTATTCCCATCAATCAGACCAGAAAAAAAAAAAAAACCCTGATAATTTATAACCCTTTGCATAGAGTACTTAGAGCTTCTTCCCTCAGCAGTGGTGAATAATTAACCCTAGGGTAAATGCTGCTCTGGTCCTACCTAACAAATTCGAAAAGCAAGACCCAAAAGGATCAAACTAATTCCAGGTAATTTAACTGAATGCCAGAACAAAGTTCATGAATATTTAGAGGAATACAAAAATATCCAGCACGCAAAATGACAAAAACTCACAATGACTATCAACCATGTATACAAAGGAGCAGGAAAATATGACCAATTTTAAGAAGGAAACTATCAGTCAAGAAAGACCCACTTGGTAGGCTGAAGTGAGAGGGTTGTTTGAGCCCAGGAGTTTGAGGATGTAGTGTGGTATGATCTCACCTGTGAAGTAGCCACAGCACTCCAGCCTGAGCAACATAGTGAGATTCCACCTCTAAAAAAAAATTAAGATTAAAAGAAGACCCAAATCTAGCACAGGCATTTGAACTAGCACTCAAAAACATCAAAGCAATTATTATAACTGCAATCATATGTTTAAAAGATTAAAGTCATGGAAAATATTTTTAAAGAACCAAAACTAACTTCTAGACATGAAAAATACGGTTCCTAAGAGAAAAACACAACTGGATGGAATTAACAGCAGGATTATGCACTGTAAAAAAAAAATTAGTTAAGTTGGTGACACAGCAATAGGAACTATTCAAAATGAAATACAAAGAGAAAAAAGAGCAAAAATCTAACTGAGCATATATAAAATATGAGAAACTTAATCTACCTAGTTTACATGTAATTGGAAAAATATTTGGAGAAAGAATTCCCCCTCAATTACCAAATTGGACGAAAACTATAAATCCAAAGTTCAAAGAACCTTGGTGATCCCCAAACACACACACACACACACACACATAAAACTATACTAAGACATATAATAAATTGCTTAAAATGAGTAATAAAGAGAAAACCTTAAAAATCGTCAGAGGGAAAAAATATACATACAAAACTACAAAAATAATGATGAAAGCTGACTTATCATAAACAACGCAAGCCAAAGATAGAGGAGCCACATCTTTTAAGTCAGAGATGAGTAGAAGAGAGGGATTGTAAATGAGCATAGGGAAAGTCTTGGAGATCATCTCCAAATGTTCATTTTCTTGATTGTAGTAATGTTTCCACTGGCATATACAGATATCAAAACTTATCAAGTTTTACACTGTTAATATGTGCTGTTTATTGTAGGTCAGTTACACCTAAATAAAGCTATTAAAAAAATAAATGCATGAAAACAAGGTCAACTTCACTGATAATGAAATGAGTATGAATCAAATCAACAATGATATTTCTTTGTCTCTTTCATGTGCTTGAATATATTATCTCGATCTTAGTAATTAATGATCTTGATAGTTTAGTGAGAAATGACACTCAATGCATTTTTAATAGAAACAACACTTTGGAAAACAACTTGGAAGTAAGCCTCAGAAGCTTTGAGCCATTAGTTCCACTTCTAGTCATATAGCAAGAAAATCTCAAACATAAGAAATATTTAATCCGGAATGATTTTTCAAGGCAATATTATATGTAAGAGTCCAAAAACTGAACTCAAGGCTACTACTGTGAAAATAAACAACACGATGGCTTTGCACACAGAAGTTTCTTTCTTCTTTACACAAAAATGCAAGCCAAGGGGCATTCTTTCATCCACTGATCAGAGATCCATACTTGCTCCATCGTGAAATTCTGCTATCTCAATATATGGCTTTTACAGGCACTGTGGCAGGGGAAGAGAATATGACAAACTCATACCTTAATTGCTTCTGACCGGAAGCGAACCACGTAATTTTACTCACAGCCCATTGGCAAGCACTAATTCCATGTGCCCTATCCTGAATAAATGAAAGGCTGGTAACTGTGGAACATACAAAACAGCACTACAGGCGCTACTATAATCCACAAGACAGGAATTGCTTTGTAAAACATTGCCTAGCATAGCTCATGTCTTGGATATCCACCAAAAAATATTACATAGAAATTTAAATAACATTTTAAAAGAGCTGTTAATAACATGAAAGAAAGCTTATGCCAGGATGTTTTAAAAAACACATTATAAACTTGCGTATGTTACTTATTCATCTTGCAGCCTTGTGATTTCAGATTAAATCATTTAATCTTTATACACCTTATTTTGTTCATAAGCAAAAGGCAGAAAATATACCTCCCTCATCAGATTTCTGCGAAGAAAAACAAAACAGCTATGCATGTTGAATTCTTAGCCTAGTGCCTAAATCTATAAGCTTGTCAAGAAATAATACCAATTTCAAAAATGTATTTTTATCTATAGAACTCATCATCTAATACCTATTATATTATATGTTCAGTTTTTGGAATTGCTTATTTTTTGTCTCTTCTCAATAGAGCAGAGACTTTTACTTGCTTAGTGATGCATTCCTAGTATCCAGAACAGTGCTTGGTACATAGAAAGTGTGCAAAAATTAGATGTCGTTAGGGGTCTATGTGGCTATAGAGAGGTAGCGTAAGGGAGCTTTGTGGTAATGGAATAGTTCTGTATCTAGATTGTGATGGGTATACAAATCTAAACACATGATAAAGTCACATATAACTATATACGCATACATACAGATGAATGCATATAAAAGTGGTAAAATCTGAATAAGCTCTGTAGATTATTCGGATAATCTATTTTTTGATTGTGATATTGTACTATAATTATGCAAGATGTTACCATGACAGAAAACAAAGTAAAGGGTGCACAGGAATTCCCTGTACCTTTTTCTGCAACTTCTTACAAATCTATCATTATTTCAAAATGAAAATGTTTTTTAAGTTGTTGCACAAATAAACACAATTTGCAGCTGTGTTTTAAAAATAGAAATTTGAAAAGCAAGACGTAAATATTTAATACTGTTAAGACTGTCTTTCTTTGGACCTTGCAATGATGGGATATTTATTTTTATCTTTCTGTCTTTCTGTTAAAATTCTTAATGGAAAAAAATTAACATTAGGCCTTAATTTTTGGTTTGTTCCTTTATTTCTTCTTTAGCTATTCATTTAGTCTCCTGCCACAGAAAGAGGCCTTCAAATAATGTTTGGAATTTAAAGGCATCAACCCTACCTCAACCTCGGCCCCTAATCCAAGCCCCTAATTTGCACTAAGGTGAGAGAAGGTCCATGGAGCACAGTGAATCACATGGATTGTCAGGGAAGCTGTTTGGAGGTTTTCTGATACTCACAGTCTCTCTCAAAGTCTTTCTAATCCACTTGCCTGCCTTCTGTCACTGCAATAGTCTACTCTTCTTGCTTAGATTTGAAAACTCATTGAAGGAACAGATTTAGTTTATGCTTTTTAGCTACTTTGCCTAAAGGAAATATTTTCTCCTTGCCCCACCCACCTGAAACAGAGAGAGATGCTCTGTGGGCAAGTAGTTGCAAAGCCCAAGCCCACGACTAATTCTTTCCATTCCTAGAAGGCAGTGCAGCTTTTACAATCATACTTATTTAGTTAATTTAATACAAAAGAACCTCCTTTCTTCTCCTCTATGCCACTTTACCAGATAGCCACTTGGTGATAATTTTCAGAAATCTGTTGGAACTAGTAATCGCCCATGGTGCAGAATGTCTCTGACAGTACTTCAATGAGAAGGCTGTATCAGAACCAATGCCTAAGAAAGAACTTCATTAATAATAATAATACAGCACATTTTAACAAGAGTACACTATTTTTGAATGGTTTTGTAATTTCCACACAGCTCTACAAATTTCCTAAGCACAGAAGTCCCATAAGCTGTTTCTATAAATAAACCTCACTGAATCATGGGGAAGCTCCACAGCAAAGCTCCGGCCCCCTCTAACCTCCACTCAAGCCCAGAAAGAAAGATGGAGATGTCTATGAACAATAGTTCTCCTTTTCACACTCTTTTCCTACTTTTTTAATCTCCAGGCTGTTTGTCTGTCTCCTCACCATTTCTCTGAAGGTAAATCTCACACTAAGCACATCTGAACTACAACATTAGTAGCAAAGAGGGTGTCGTTACCCCTAAGAGTGTCTGAAATATAACACATTTAACTTAAAAGGCTGCAAGGACAAGGGGACAGATGGACAGTTCCTTGGAAAGCAGTCCCAAAGGATGTGTGTGGTGGGATCTTTGGAAATGTGTGAAACACAGGAAGGTATGTCTATGGGTTAGAGGTTCTGTGAGCCCAAAGGGGACAAAAGTGTCCTTGATGTTTATGCTTCTGTTTGTCTCATCTCAGAATTTTACAGTCCTGACCTATCATTTTTTATTGTGCAGTGTTGAAAGAGATTCCTCTCTCCTCATTTCCATGGCATGAAAGTTAAGGTCCCAAGAAGAAAAAGGATTGCTCAGCATTACACAAGAGTTAATAACAGAGCACAGGCAGCTTTCCCAAAGTTCTCTCTCTTTCATCTTACTCTTCTTACTGCATGACCCTTAGAGCTGAGCTTATTCACCCGCTGGCTCCCTATGTCGGGAGACAGGAGGCAGGGACACCCCACCCACTCTCACTCTTGGCACACAGACTTAGGTGCAGGCATGATTCCTGATGGTGGAGGAGGACACTGCTCTCCCTCTTCAGTATAATTTTCCCACTTCACCCCGTCCTGACCTTCCCTTCAACTTCAACTTCTTCTCATTTGAAAATCAAAATTGTACTTTACATTTAATTTTCCAACAACCTAATATTTAGACAAATAATTTGAGGTACATATATATATAGATGTGTGAACTTGATTTGTATATACTTGATTTTGTATATATATGTAAATACACATATCTATATACTTAAGTTTGTTTCTATACAGAATAAAAGAAATTCTTTGGTCAGTCTTCCACACAAGAGATTGCAATGACCTGAAAAAATAAACTTTCTGCACATTAATGTGTATATTAAAAGTAAGATGTTGAAAACCAGTGGTATGATGTTCCTATGTGTATATTAGGAACAAGTGATACTGCATATCAAAAAAAAAGAGAGATGTTCTAAATAATTAAATAAAAAAGGCTTATGTGATACAAAACTGTACAAATAAAAATAATGCCAAATTAGTGGCCTTAATGACGCCATTGGTGCCACAGTTGGAAGGAGTGACTAGGTGGGGCTGTAAGGTAGAATACACTAAATTAACTATATTATACGAGAGCTTGGAAGATACACCTTTAATCAGGTAATGATCATGAACATCATTAGTAATTGGATACATTGAGATCATGTGACATCTGACAGAATGAAGAGCTCAGCTTCACAGAAGTGATGATCTTGTTAAAATGCATAACCTGAACCTAATCATAGGGAAACACCAGGAAAGTCCAAAACAAGGAAATATAAAATAATTGGCCTGTAGTCTTCAAAAGCATCAGTCATAAAAGTCAAAGAAAGACTGAGGAACTATTCCAAACTGAAGGTTAAAGAAACATAACAACCAACTGGAACACAACTCTAGACTAGATCCTATTGCTATTAGTGCCATTATTGAGATAACTGGAAAATTCAAATGGGGTCTGGAGATTAGAAAGTAGTGATGTACCAATGATAGCTTTTCTGATTGTGATGATTATATGATGCTTATAGAGGAGAACCTTCTTAATATTCAGGGGTGATTTGTGGCACTATTTTAGCAACTCGTTCTCACATGTTTCAGGTAATAAAATGTTCTCTGCACTTTAAACTCCAGTAGAGTTTGGACAATTTAAATGGTGCTGATTGCATCCTTATAATGCCCTTTTACATACTCCTTTGTCCACTATTTTTTAATGTGTTTCTTTAAAAAAGTAGTTCATTTTCTCCACATTTTAAAGTATGCTAAACTAGGGTGCTTTTTATAATCAGTGTCAAAACAACCGGCTGTTTTCCAAACAGAGGAGAACTCCAGGCTTGAACCAGAGTTGTTAAGACACTTTTAATATCCTGCTTTAAAATAGATTGGTTTTTTGTTTTTCCTTTAGGAGGACGTTAGGACATTTTTTCCTTTCTCCAAACCACCCTATTTGAATTTCCTAAATGGGATTGAGGTAGGGCGGGAGAAAGGGGTTGCAGGTTTAGGGTACAGAGGCTATATATTTCAGTGACCAGAAAAAAAAAGCTTATAAAGTTTTCCATTAGATAGTGTAAAAACTATGACGGCTTGGGAATTCTGTCAAAGAAAATTGGTGAAATCTTTCCAGGAATGAGTTGGCTAGCATAAATGTTTACTTCTGTTAGAAGGCAATGGCAGAAATTGCCAAATAAAGACGCCAGAAAAGTAGATTTCCTATCAATATGTCATAAAATTAATTTAAAGAAACTTTTAAAAACATAAAGAATTTTGTAGCATAAACCAACGTAGGAATGGGACACAACCTCATTCCATAAACTTCAAACAGTGAATATAATTTAATAGAAAATACAGGCAAGGCACAGTGGTTAACACCTGTAATCCCAGCACTTTGGGAGGCCAAGGCAGGTAGATCACAAGGTCAGGAGATCGAGACCATCCTGGCCAACGTGGTGAAACCTGTCTCTACTAAAAATACAAAAAAAATAGCTGGGCATGGTGGCACGCACCTGTAGTCCCAGCTACTTGGGAGGCTGAGGCAGGAGAATTGCTTGAACTCGGGAGGCGGAGGTTGCAGTAAGTCGAGATTGCACCACTGCATTCCAGCCTAGCCACACAGCAAGACTCCGTCTCAAAAAAGAAAAAAAAAAGAAAAAGAAAAAGAAAATACAATGGCATTTGCTGAGCATTTACTATGTGCTGAGCATTTACTAGGTGCTAGGCTTTCTTCACACTACATCTTACATAAGAATGTATATTTGAAGCCAGACTATTTGGTTGCAAATTCTGCCTCCATAAAAATAAGAGTCTGGTTCATCTTGGAATGATGCTTAAACACTATCACTCACTCATTCTGCCAAAGGGCCCACTCTGAGAAATTGTACAAAGGAAAGAAGTAAGTTTATAAAACACTAAGAATTCCAGCCGATATCACCCTATCTTCAAATAGTGGCCTGAGGTAATGAGTAGCCCCTGAAAACGTCAGAATATTATCCTTCAAGTGTAGAAATGTCTTCCTACCTCCACCAGTGTCTTCTCAGAAACTAAAAAATAACCCAGCATCATTCATAGTTTCCACCATTCATGGGTACTGTTCCTTAATGGGATATCCCCCAATCACGTGGAGAAAACCCCCACACAGAACACTTAACAATATTTCAAATGTTCATATTGTGGAGAACCACTTACCTGAGCAATTCCTTGGTTTCCTTATTGAATTCAAGTGAACCTTTTCTTCTGGAGCATTCCCAAAGGCCTGTCAGGTCACCTTGCGGGGCTGCATCCGCTTTTCCTACTCAGGTTGCAACACTGCAGGAATCCCTTTGACCCACCGCAGGGAGTACTACGCAGTGAAAGGGCATTGTTGGGAAACATTCAGGACCTGATTACAAGTCCCACTGCCTACAAAGGTCAGGCAGTAATGTGAAGGGGAAAAGTGGGCCTGGTACAGGATGTTGGGAAGGTAAAAGCGCAGTCTAGGCAGCAGAACAGTCTTCTAAAGGGGGACTTTAGATTGTCATGCTTTGAGAATGCAGGCCCTCTGATGCTCAGTTTCCAATTTATTCAAGAGAAGCTGGGAGTCTGCTCCTTATGTGAAAACTCCTGATTCCTTAAATGTTGGAAATTAGTGAAAAGATTTAGACAACTACCCAGTCCCCCTAAACACACCCTTGGGGACCAAGTCTAGCCTATGGGCTGCTGATCTGGAACCTCTATTATAGGTAAATTTGGAAAAAAATCTTTCTGCTTGCTCATGAGGCAAGTATCAGTCTCAGTTGAAAATTTCATGTATGTAAACAGAAATGATTTTGTTTTTATTCAGTCAACTCAATGCTGACGTTGAGTTCCTATCCCACTGATTTAACAGAAAATTCTGTCATAGTCATCGACCGGGTCCTGGGCATCCCCTCTGGGGTCTGGCCAGCTCCTTAGGGTACCACAGTAACACATGCATAGGTCAGTTAGCCCATCACTGCTCTTCTATGGTCCACAGGCCCTACCCCAGGTCTCTGCATTCTCTCCTCTTGGCTTTGGCGGTTTTCCAAGGCCCTCCCACCCTCACCTCACTGTCTAAGCAGCTTTGGTAATCTGTCCAGTGGCTCAGGCTTTCACTAAAGACTGACTCCTTCGGGATGCTTTGCAGAAGCAGCTACGTAATTTGGAGGCACGGTGCAAAATGAAAATGTGGGGCCTCTTGTTCAAAACGTATTAAGAATTCCAAGATGGAGACAACAGCGCATTAAACCAAGGGTGAGGCTCTCCTAAGTGTAGGGGTCCACGGGACTGCAGTGGTCACACATCCGTGAAGTGGCCCTGACGCTTTGCTTTCTGCATTGGAAAAGTACCTGAGGCAAGGAATTACACATCCTAGCTACCGGACTGAGAGATGGCAGGGAGGTTGGGAAATGGAGAAGATTACATTGCCATGTTTTCGAGAACCGGTTCAGGTTTAGATTCCTAAACTATAGACAAGACTACAAATTTCATAAAGCTGAGAGCAATTTGCTGGCCATGTTACCGAGGGCTGGTTTCAGAATTCAGCACCAACCCTCTCCATCCATCCTTTCCAGCTTCCAGTCAAGCCAGAAGGAAGGGAATCAGATGGATTCTGTCTCTGTCTCTGTCTCTCTCTCTCTCTTGCCAATGACCTCACTCTAATATAAATAAGACCTTCTTCCTGCACTGTGGGTTCCTTCACTCCCACTGCTGTGTCTCTCCTCCCTACAGCACCTTTCTCAAAAGCAAAACCCCTCCACTTCCCTTCTGAGCCTGTTTGACCTGTTTTCCCTTTCTGCCCCAATCTCACAGGTCTCCCTCAATTCTAAACCCTGCTTCCCTTTTACTGCTCATTTCCCTTGGGTCTTTCTGTCCATCTTCTCTCTTACATATTGTTCACCTTCATCCCCGAGATAATTTAATTCCTTACAGGTAGAGAGCATCGTGGGCAGGAACTCTTACCAACAGACCACTTGCCTTGTTGTCTAGTACTGCACTTACTAGCCACCAAAAAGACTGCTGCTCTTCAGAGCTATAAAACATGCGATGACGTGTAAGAAAGGTCATCTTAAACTCCTAGGGGCTGTCAGCACTCTGCTTGCAGTCTGGCAGGGCTCCCCTCTCTCCTCCTTTCCTCCCAGGATCACAGCCAGTCCACAAAGAGCAAGCCTGAGAAGGAGAGGAAAGGGGTGGGGGAGTGGTGGGTGAGGGGGTTGGAGGAGCTGAGGGGTGGCCAGTAGCGGGAGGAGGCAAGTGAAATGGAAACTCCTGGCCTTGGCTGGCCCAGAACTCGCACTGGCCCAGGTTCAGGAGTCTTGGTGTGCTTGCTGGTGAAGGGGTTTTCTCTGCTGCACTGGCTCCGTGTCCTTCCATACCCTAAAACATATACACACACAAACACACACACACACACACACACACACACACACACACACACACACAGAAACATGAGGCGCCGAGAGGACTAGCCAGTGATCTCAGCCTCAAGGACTTTGTACTGCAAGAGCGCTGGCATCTGAATTCCAAGGTCATGCTCCACCTCTACCTGCTGCAAACCCCTTCTGCTGCTTGCATTTCAGTGTTCCTTTTTGTATTAATATAAAGGAGGAGAGTGGATGAGATGTTGTAGCTCTGAAATTCTATGACCAATTGCACAGCAAAAACAACAGCAACTAAAAATGGTGGGTTTTGCTTGTGTGCCTGGAGAGGGAGTGGGGGTGGGCAAGCTTATGTCCTGTTGACTGTCAGCTTCTGAGGGGAGAAGGGATCTGGCAAGAGAGAAGTGCAGCTGTCTTGGCAGAGAGAATGAGAAATGAGAGAATGAGAAAGAGAGGTAACTGCAAGCAATCCTGGTCTTTCAGACACACTCAGTCTACAATCCCCAAACACCCACCTGCCCCCACAGTTTCCCCCCAGACACCCCATTTAACTGCACAAACACATCCAGACGCTGGTTTTTCCTTTCACCATAGTAGTCATAAACTATGCCTCTGTGCTAGTAGCTGGGTGCATTCACTTCTAGAAATCTCTTAGAAGTAAAGTCCCATCCATGTCTGCCCTCCAATCTCAGGCTAGGCCTATGTAGTTTTGAGGGGAGACTAGATTTGCAGGGAAATGAGGAGAGAACACACAACTTGGAGATTTGAAGAGCAAAGGAGACAAGGGCCAAGGAAATCATGGAAGAAGTCTGGAAGGATCTGTCCATTCTCTGGTAATGGTGAACATTCACATAGGGTTTTCCATGTGCCAGACACTGCTTTAAGAGCTTTATCTGTATTAAGTCATTTAATCTTCATAAAAATTCCATGAAGTAGAGACAATTATTATCCCCAATGTTACAGATGAAAACACTAAGATAGAAGTTAACAAGCCCTCTGTGATAGGCAGAAAAATAGCTCCCTAAAGATGTTGATATGGTTTGGCTATGTGCCCCCACCCAAATCTCATCTTGCAGCTCCCATAATTCCCACGTGTTATGGGAGGGATCTGGTGGGAGATGATTGAATCATGGGGGTGGGTCTTTCCCCAACCGTTCTCATGATAGTGGAGAGGTCGCAGGAGATCCGATGGTTTTAAAAACGGCAGTTTCCCTGAACAAGCTGTCTCTTTGCCTGCCGCCATCCACATAAGATGTGACTTGCTTCTCCTTGCCTTCTGCCATGATTGTGAGGCCTCCCCAACCACGTGAAACTGTGAGTCCAATTAAACCTCTTTCTTTTGTAAATTGCCCAGTCTGGGGAATGTCTTTATCTGCAGTGTGAAAATGGATTAATACAGATGTCCAGATCCTAATTCCCAGAATTTGTGATACGCAATGCTACATGGCAAGGGAGAATTAAGGTTGCAGACAGAATGAAGGCTGCTAATTAGCTGACCTTGAGATGGGAAATTATCTAGATTATCTGGATAGGCACAATGTAATCACAAGGTCCTTCTAAGTGAAAGAAGGAAGCAGGAGACTCAAAGAAGGAGATGTGACACAGAAGCAGAGGCTGGAGCCATGAGATTGCTGACTTTGAAGATGAAGGAAAGGGCTGCAAGCCAGGGAATGCGGGAGCCTCTGGAAGCTGGAAAAAGCAAGGAAAATAGATTTGTCCCTAGATCCTGCAAAGAGAAACACATCCCTGCCTACACCTGGATGATAGCCCAGTGAGACCTGTGCTGGACTTCCAGGACCTACAGTCCTGGAAGATAGTAGTAAATCTGTGTTGTTTTAAGCCACTAAATGTGTGAAAATTTATCACAGCAGCCTTAGCAATGAATACACTGCCCAACTTGTAAGCAGAGGATGTGGTGGCTTCAAAGTCCAGGCTTTTTCCCTGCTACTCCTTTCTTTCTTTCCTCCCTCATGCCCAATATCTGTCATCTGTTGATTGGTTAGTAACATTCTCAACGCCTTACTGTTTTATTAAACTTATAAAAACAATGTATTGGTTTAAAAAAAAACAATTCAGTGGTTGTGAAGGTAAGAATCAATAGACAATTTCTCCACCGTTAGCCCCGCCTCTTATAGAAGCACATGCAGCATGTCTTCTTCATACACGAATGTAATGCTAAAGCTGATGCAGTGGCTCAGGCCTGTGATCCCAGCACTTTGGGAGGCCGAGGCGGGAGGATCACTTGAGCCCTGGCGTTCGAGACCAGCCTGGGCAACAAAGTAAAACCCTGTCTCTAACAAAAAATCAAAAAGTTAGCTGGGCGTGGTGGCGGCGCACTTGTGGTCCCAGCCTCTGAGGTGGAAGGATCGCTTGAGCCTGGGAGGTTGAAGCTGCAGTGAGCTGTGATGGCACCACTGCACTCCAGCCTGGGTGGCAGAAGCAGACCCTCCCCCTGGAGGGGAGGGGAGGGGAGGGGAGGGGAGGGGAGGGGAGGGGAGGGGGAAAGAGAGATCCTACTCTCCATTTTAATACAACTTGCTTTTTTAATTAAAAACTATAGCTAGAACCGATAGATTTCACTCGTCCTTAAAAATAGTCCTGTATTATTTTATATAAACATCTCTCGCTATTTATCAAGGCCGTCACTTGTTCAGAAGTATTCTCACTTTTGTTTTGTTTTGTTTTGTTCTTAACAATTTGCTCCCTATATTCCTGGGCTGGCGCCTAGGCCTGCATCCGGGATTTGGCGCCACATCTGCGGGCAGGGCCTCTGAGGTCTAGGGGAGGGACGGCGCCGGCCAAGTCCCGCCCCCGTCCGCGTCGACCAATCAGCTCCCTGGAAGGCCCCTCCTCACCACCCCCCACCCCCGCAGTCTCCGCCTAAGACTTTCCAAGTCCTGTAGTTTCGAGCCCGCTGCCCTTTGCCTCCTGGGCGGAGAAGCTGCTTCCTCCTGGGAATAACCGCCTCCCGCTCCTAGCAGGTTGCTACTGCCCCGAACCCGCGCTGCAGGGAACAGCGGGGCAAACAGTGAGTGGGGTTCAGCGTAGACTCTGGACCAGGAGAGGCCCGCGGTGACCGAGGCCTGGGCCCCGGGTTAGTGTCCGGGGCGGGGAGCGGTGGGCGGGGTGCGACGTTTAGCGTCTGGGGAGGGCCGGGCGTGGATTGCGGCCTCTGCGCGCGCCCCCAGGTGATAGAGCCGTTCCACCGAGGATCCCTTCCTTCGTCTCTACCCCGTTGATGATTTTTCTCTGCAGCTCGGTGCCTATTTCATTCTCGCCGCATTGTTATGCCCTCTGCTGGGCAGGAGGCGATGACCCCCCCTATTTTCGTAGGATTTGTTTTTTGCTCCGCAAGGAGCCATTAAGATCTGAGCTAGCAGGAACCCTCGAGGCGATTTGATCTCGCCAGCTGGGGGCTTGCATTCTTCTAGGCTAGCTTGTCTCCGTTAAGCCCAGGTGGAAGTTCTCATCCACCCCAGTGCTCTAGGCGCCCACGGGCGCAGTGTGGGTTTGTGGTGGGGGAAGGGACCTGGGGAGGGGTGGCGGTGAGAGCGGCGCGGGGATTCAGGCTGAATGTTAGTCTGGAATGCATTTGGCCTGAAGCAGCAAGTGCTGGGTGATACAGTTCCCTGGTAAACAGCCGAGAGCTGGCCGCTAGTTTGGCCCAACCTGCAACGGAAGAAGGCCTTAAGTACAGGAGAAAAAGATCTTTGCCAATTGGATAATCATGGAAATTTAGAAGAAGTACAGCTCGAACTAGACGTAAAGGACAGAATGTGTCTGTCTAGCTGACCAGCCAACCATCGGTCCATCACTTTCATCCTCCAAACTAGTGATTTGTTGATGAATTGGTTTCAATACTTTGTTTTAAAATGTTGAATAAAAAGTAAATGAAATATCTCAGAATGGTCTAAAAAATAATGAAACGAATGCCTGACCATCTCCTTGGGTCAAGAAATAGGGCGTCACAGTACCTTAGAAGCCCATGAGTCCCAACTGATGCCCATGGTCCATTCTCCTCCATTCTCTGAGATGTGACATCTTTCGTGATTTTTGTCTTAATTTAATGAATCCCTTGCTTTTCTTTTTAGTTTTACCATATTTGTGTGTGTATTCCTAAAACATATGTATTGGCTTTCTCATTATAATGACATTATATTAATGACATTATCCTGTACGTATTCTTAAGTTTTATAGATTCATCTTTCATGCTTCCTTCCATTTTCGTTTTCGTCATTTAAGGTGTAAATGTACATAATTTATCCATTCTACTGCTGATGGACATTGGATTGTTTCTACTTTTGGAGGTGTATGATTTATCTATAAGCTATGTAACAAATTACCCCAACACCTAGCAGCTTCAAACCAAAGCGAACAAACAAAACAAGTCCTGTTACCTCCTATCTTACAGTTTCTGTGATCAGGAATCCAGGAGGGGCTTAGCTGGGAGTCTCTGACTCAGGGTCTCTCACAAGCTGTATCAACAATCAAGGTATTGACTGGGCCTCAGTCATCTCAAGGCTAGGCGTAGGGTCGAGGACCTCTCCCAGGCTTACTCACATGACTGCTGGCAGGCCGATTGGCCTCACTGACCCTGGCTGTACACATCAGTTCTTTGCCACATGGGCCTCTGTATAAAGAATGGTTGCAACATGGCAGCTTACTCCCCCCAGAGAGAAGGCTCCCACAGAGAAAAAGAGAAAGACAGAAGTCAGATTCTTTCTGTAACCTCAGAAGCGACATCCCATTATTTTTGCCATTTTATATTCATTAGAAGTGAGTCCCTAGGCCCAACTCACACTGAAGGGAAGGGGGTGACACAAGGACATGAACACCTGGAGGCAGGGATTATCGGGGCCACTTTAAAGCCTGCCCATGTCCTCTAATATTCAAGTACACTTGTGTGGGAGCTTCCCTAGAGTATATAGCTGGGAGTAGAATTGCGGAGTTATAAGATTTATGTGTATTCAATTTTATTGGGTCATTTCTAAACTTTCCAAAGTGTTAAACCAGTTTGCACTCCCTCCAGCAGTGGATGAGCATTCTTGTTGCTCTACATGCTTGCCACAGCTTAGTCTTGTAAAATTACATTTTTTGTCAGTCTGGCAGGTATGAAATAGCATTTAACTGTGATTTTAACTAGCATTTTCCATAACTAATGAGATTGACTTTTTATATGTTGATCAGTGCTTTCTCTTTGTGAAATTCTGATTCCTGTCTCTTTCATTTTTGTATTGGATTGTTTGTTTACCTTTTTTATTGACTCATTGGAATGCTTTCTTTATATAATCTGGGTACGAAGCAGTAATTGTTAGCTATATATGCCACAGACATCTTTCCAATTTGCTTTTGAGGTTTTCTTTCTCTCTATGTCTTTATATCTGTTTCTTTCTCTGTTTCTATCAATGAATCTAAGTTTTGAATTTAATTTCAAGTTAGTAGTACTTTCTTTTATAGCTTTTCTTGTTTGATAATTGTTTTCTCAAGATCATAGATTAATTTTAGTGTATCGTTTTCTAAAAGTGTTATAGTTTTGCCTTTGGCAATTAGTCTTAATCCACATGGAAACTGATTTTTATGTTGTTTATTCCATATGGATAATCTGTTGCCCCAGCACCAGTGATTTGCATGAATCAGGATTTCCATATAAGCATGAATTCGTTTTAAGCCCCCATTCTTATTTTCTATTTGTCTAACTCTGCCTCAATACTAAATAATTTTTAACCACTATAGTTTTATTAAAAGCCTTGAAATTTGGTAGGAAAAGTCCTATCACCTGTTTCTTCTTCTTTAAGAGTGTTTTAGCTTTACTTGGACCTTTGACCTTCCATATAAATATTTAAATAAACTTATCAAGTTCTCCAAAACAAGAAACAAACAAGCAAATAAACCTGTTGGAATTCTGATTGATAATGGATCAACTCTGTGTCTTAGTCTGTTTTGTGCTACCATAGCAGAATACCTGAGACTGAGTAATGTATAAGGAACAAAAATTTATCAGCTCACAGTTCTGGAGGCTGGGAAGTCCAAGATTGAGTGGCTGGCATCTGGCAAGAAAGAGCCTTCTTACTGTGTCATTCCATGGCATAAAGGCAGAGAAAGGCTGAAAGAGAGTGTAAAAGGAGGGTGAATGCCGCCTTTTATAATGAACTCACTCCTACAGTGATGGCATTAATTCATTCACTCTGCTGTCATGACCTGATGGCCTCTCATTAAGCCCACCTCTTAACACCATTGCATTGGGGATTAAGTTTCCAACACCTGCTTTTTGAGGGACACATTCAAACCATTGCACTCTATAAATTATTTTGGGCAGAAATTATTTCTAAGACATTGGCCCTTTTCCTCAATGAACATGGTATATGACACTATTTAAGTCATCTTCAATGTTTTGTACTATTTTTTATTGTTTTCTTTTGGCTCAGTTTTTGTTAAATTTCTAGGCACGTCATATTTTTACTGCTATTGTAAGCATTTTCTTTTGTAAAAGTTATATTTTGTAGTTTATTGTTGCTGGCATACAGAAATTCAGTTGCCTTTTATATATTAATTATATATCAATCAAACTTGAGAAAATTAATAATTCTAAATTTACCTGTAGCTTCTTTCAGATTTGCTACATAGGCAATCATATCATCCGAAAATAATGATAATTTTGTTTATTCGTTTCTAATTCTCATACCTTCAATTTATTTTTTCTGTCTTATGACAATGACTAGGAGCTCCAGTACACTGTTGAATAAAAGTAATAAAGGGCATCTTGTTTTGTCCTTAAGATAATAATGAGAAATATTTCATTATGTCAACTTAAAAATGACATTTGCTATAGTTACTTTGTAAATGTCTTCCCCATCATAAGAAAATTCTGTTCTTCTTTTGGTAAGCACTTTTATTATAAATGGATGTTTTTTCAAATGCTTTTCCTGTAGCTGTTGAGAATATATATACTTTTTTTCCTTTAACTATATTAACAACATAGTAAAGTATAGTATTTAATTTCTGATATTAAACCAATTTTGTATTCTTGGAATAAACCTTTTGTGGTAAATATGTAGTAATTTCTGTATGTGGATATAGATACAAAAGGTAAACATTGGATATTTATATTTATACGTGTGATTTAAGATTGGCATGTAATTATACTTTTCTGTACTATCCTTTTCTGATGCTGGTATTATCATAAAATAATATGAATAGTATTCTCCCTTATGCTATTCTTTGGAAGAATTTGTGCAAGATTGGGATTATCTGGTCCTTGAATATTTCCTTGAATCACCTGTAAAATCATCTGTGTTTGGAGTGTATTTTTTCAGAAGATTTTAATGATTATAGTACTATTTAGGTTTTCCTATGGAGTCAGTTGTAGTAAATTGTATTTTCCAAGATATTTAACAATTTCACATATACATGAATGTATCAGTATACGTACATGTATATGTTTATTCAATATATATAAATACATTTGACCATTGAACAATGGAGCAGTCGGGATACTGACCCCCCTCAGAATTGAAAATTTGTATATAACATTTGAGTCCTACAAAACTCAATACTAATAGCCTACTAATGAGTGGAAGTCTTACCAGTAACATAAGCAGTTGATTAACACATGTTTTATATATGCATTATATTCTTAACTAGAGAAAAAGAAAATGTTATTAAGAAAGTCATAAGGAAGAGAAAACATATTTACCATTCATTAAGTAAAAGTGAATCATCATGAAGGTCTTCCTTGTCATCTTCACATTGAGTAGGCTAAGGATGAGGAGGAAGGGAGGAGTTGGTGTTGCTGTCTTTGGGGGTGGCAGAGACAGAAGAAAATCCAGACCAACGCGGTTCAAACCTGGATTATTCAAGGATGAAGTGTTTATATATGAATATATATATATATATATATATATATATATATATATATATATATATATATATATTCAAGATTAACAAAATAAAACTGTTTATAAAATCCTCTCATTCTGTTTATAAATCTTTCCATTATCTATTGATATGGCCACTTTTTCATTGTTAATATGTGTACATTTTCTCTTTTTGTTTTAATTTTTCCAGAACATGGTCTACATTATTAGTTTTTCAAACACCAACATAAAAGCTTTATGTCTTTTTCTAATTTTTACCTATTTTATTACTTTCTTCTTTCTTTGAATTTTTTCTGTGATTTATTTTCTAAGCTTTTAAATTATATGCTTAGCTCATTAATTTTGAGCTTTTCTTCCTATGTAAGCTTTTAAAGCTATACATTTCTATCACTACTTTTTAGCTACATCTGACAAGTTTTGATATGATTATTTTTGACCATGTAGCTTTAATTATTTATAATTTTCCTTATAGTCTGTTCTTTGAGACATGAATTTTTTATAAATGTACCTTTTAAATTCCATTTGGCCATATGAAGTTTCTTTTGTTATCTTGTAGTTGTAGTTGCCTAATTTATATTGTAGTCAGAGATTGCATAGTGCCAATTCTTTTAAATTCGCTGAAGCTAGCTTTAAAACCCAGTAAGTTTTCTTTGTGTGCGTAAAAAGAATGTGTAGTCTGTAATTACATGATGTTCTGTGTATCAACTGTTTTAATTATACAACCCAATCTTACATATCTTTAACTTTTTATTTGCTTGAGTTGCCAATTACAGAAATAGGTATGTTAAATATTCTCACCATGATGGTGGATTTGATAATTTCTCATAAATGTATATATTTTTGCTTCATATATCTTGAGGCTATGTTATCAGTGAATTGTTGTAAATTGAACATTTTATCATAATGTAGGGACCTTACATTATGATACCTATTAATGTTTTCTGTTTTAAAATCGTATTTTTTTCAAAGATCAAATCAAGGTTTCTTTGGTTTTTGCCTCATTTATCTCTCTTTTATCGTTTGACTCTAACTCTTCAGAATCTGTTTTAAATATATATGTAGTAAACTTATTTGGATTTTTTAAAAGTCTGGATTTTTAAAATATTGTTTGACAATTTATAACTTGTCATTGAATAATCTGTGTATATTTATTGTGATTAGTAATACAAAGTTAGATTTATTTCTACCATCTTATTATTTGCTTTTTATTTTTCCTGCCTTTTATGTTTCTTTCCCTGCCCCTCCCCCCACCCATTTTTTTCCTTCTTTCTTTCTTTGCCCATTTTTTTCTTTCTTTTATTTGGAAGTTACATGTCTTAGTTCTGATGTTTTAATTTTATAATAGGTTTAACGCATATAATTCCTAATTTTTAAGATGTTTAACTAGTTTTATAACAGATTTAATTTAGCATACTTAAGTTAAATTGATCCTTAGTACCTTGTCTCTTACCCCGCAAGTATCAAATGATTATTGTTATTTAATACCATCAGTGTATTAAATATATGTTTACCAACATGTGTTTACAGATTTTTCTTTTTACAAAAAAAAACCCTGAGTTATAATGTGCGTAGAGTTAGGTTCACAAATAATAAGTGTACAGATCAGTGAATTTTATATATGTATATGGTCCTATCAGGATATAGATTTACAACACCTCAGAAGACTTTGTTTTTCCCTACTCTAGGTAATTTTCACTCTCAAAAATAACCACTATTCAGACCTCTGTCATGATATATTGGTCCAATCTTGATCTTCACATAAATTGAGTCATAAACAGGTATCCTTTTGTGTTTGTTTTATGCAGTTTTAGGTCGATGAGATTCTTCCATATAGTGGCATATAGCAGTACTTTTTTTTCTATAGTATTGTATAAGTATATCACAAATTATCCATTCTACTGTTGATGGACATTTATTTTTTCCAGTGTTTCTGACTATTACAAATAAATCTCATTTGAACATATCTTTGGTAGACATAAAAACTTACTTCTCATGAACATACATCTGGTCAGCCTAAATAATGTCAGACAGTTTTGCCACATAGCTGTATCGATTTATGTTCCCATCAGAAATATATATAAGTTCATCAGCTCCAGATCCTCATCACAATTTGATATTGTCACTATAGTTAATTTTAGCCACGTGAAATGGATATAGGTATCTTATTATGGTTTTAATTTGTATTACTTTGATGACTAATTATATTAAGCATCTTTTTGTATGCTTATTGGCCATTTGAATACCATATTTTGTGATGCACCTGCACATGTATTTTGTCTATTTGGGGGTAAAGGGGTGGTTTCTTTTTTTAATTAATTTTGTGAGTGTGTTAAATTATATTCCGAATATGCATATATATTTTTTCTTGTATCAGCGATTTGCAAATATCCTCTTCCAATCTTTGGCTTGCTTTTTCCCATTGGTAATTATGTCTTTTAATAAAAAGAACCTCTTTATTTAATTTTTATAATATCTAATTTTTATTGTTAATAAATCCAAACATTTATGCTTAGGACTTGAGTTGTATTGACGAGAATTTTGCCTACCTCTAGGTCACAAAAAGATTCCTTATGCTTAATAGTTCTACCATTCACATTTAGTTTTATAATTTATCTCAGAGTATTTTTTGTATATGATATGAGGTATGGGTTAAGGGTTCATTGGTTTTTATATAGACATCTAATCAATCAAGAACTACTTATTGAAAAGGCATTTCACACCATTAGACTTTTTGAATCTATGTTCATTGAGTAATATTCGTCTCTAGGTTTTTGTTCTTATAATGTACTTACGAGATTTTGCTATCAAAGTTATGCTGGGTGTAATAAAAATGAGTTGGGAAGAGTTTCTTCATTTACTAGTCTCTGGAAGAAGTTTTATGATATTAGTATTATATTTTTCTCAAGTGTTTAGAAAAATTCACCATAAAAATCCTTTTGGGACTAAACTTTTTTGCAGAATGTTTTTGATTTTGGACTGCATTTTTTTTATGTATAGGATTATTTATATTTTCTGCTTCTTCTTGCTGTTTTGGATAAATTATGTTGTTTAAACAATTTGCAAATTCATCTGAGTTTGTTAAATTTATTGGCATATGATTACTTGTAATATCACTTTGTTATATTTTTAATGTCTTTTGGGACTGCAATAATGTCCCCTGATAATTATAATGGATTCTCTCTCTGTGTCTCTTTATTGATCATTCTTAGTTTGGTTCATTAAAACCAACTTTTGGTTTTACTGAATTTCTAAATTTTTTAAAATTTGATTCTTGCTTTTATGTTTATTATATTCTCTGATTTACTTTAAATTTGTTATTCTTTTTCTAATGTTTTGAAATAGTTTACTTTCAGTCTTTCCCTTTTATTAATGTATGCATTTAGAGCTATAGAGTTTTCCTTTATTAAGTAATTCCTTTATTAAGTAATTGCTTTTGCTGCCTCCTGCAAATTTTGATAAATTGTATTTTAATTATTATTTAGTTAAGATATTTTCTAATTTCCATTGTGATTTCTTCTCTGACCTAAGGGGTGTTCAGAAGTGTGATCCTTAATTTCCAAACGTGGGAATTTTCTAATTAAATAAATAAAAATTATTTATTTCTGGTTTAATTCCATTAAGATCAGAGAATATATTCTACATCTTTTTGAGTTTCTTGAGACTTGCTTCATACCCAGTATATGTTTTATTTGAGAAAATGTTTGACACGCACTAAAAATCATGTATATTCTGTTGTTGGTAGGTGTATATGTACCATATGTGTCAACAGGGTCAAATTTGTTAATTATGTTATTCAAATCATGTATATCCTTACTGATTTTTATGCACTTGTTTATTCAGATTACTGAGAAAAATGTACTTAAATCTTCAACTATGCTTGTGGACTTGTCTTTTCTTCTTTTATTATTGTCAACTTTGCTTTATAAATTTTGAAGTTATTAAGGATACAAATTTAAAATTTTTGTATTGCTGTACTGAATTGATCCTTTTATCATTATGAAATTTGTTTTATATCTACAGTAACACTTGCTGACAGTAATGTTTACTTTGCCCATTGTACATAAGCCATACTAGCTTTCTTTTGGTTAATGTTTGCTTGGTGTACCTTTTTCCATCCTTTCACTTTCAATATTTCTCTTCTAAATGAACTCTTTTTCTAATTGGATTTTTAATCCATTTATATTTAGTATAATTATTTATATAGTTGGTATCTTAGTTGTTTTGGGCTGCTGTGACACAAATGTGATAGACTGGTGGTTAAACAACAAACATTTAAAGATAAACCAGCAGATTTAATGTCTGGTGAGGGCTGGCCTCCTAGCTTATAGACAGCTACCTTTCTCACTGTATTTTCACATGGCCAAGAGAGGGAGCTCTAGTCTCGTTCTCGTCTTATAAAGATACTAATCCCATTATGAGTGTTTCACACTCATGACATCATCTACATCTAATTACCTCCCAAAGGCCCACTTCCTAATACCATTCCATTGGGGGTTAGAATTTCAACATACAAATTTTGGAGGGACACAAACATGCAATCTATAAATATTGGGTTTAAGCAAGGTTGCAGTGAGCCGAGGCAGCAGTGAGCCAAGATCGCACCACTGCAATCTAGCCTGGCAACGGTGACACTCCTTCTCCAAAAAAAAAAAAAAAAAAATTGGGTTAAAGTCTACCAATTTGCACAGTTTTCTCTTTGTTCCATTTCTTCTTTGTTATTTTCTCTTTTCTTGATTTCTTTCGAATTCAACACTTTCTATTAATTTTTCTTCAATATTTTGAATTATAATTTTTTAAATTATTTTAATGGTTACTTTAGATATTACAGTTCACCTTATTGATTTATTATGACCTACCTTAAATTATTACTTCTATGTATTCTCAATGCAAAATTTTAAGTTTATCTCCATCTTGCAGCTGTACTATTGTCTGTTTTATTTTTTATATGCTTCTGTATTCCATAAGGCATTTTGTTTATTTAAACAGTCAATATTCATTTATATTTGCCTATGTATTTACTCTTTTCAGTGTTCTCTATTAATTCCTACAGCACTGTACTTCTATGAGGAATAATTTTCATAAAAAATTAGTTTTAGTAGTTATATTCTAGTGGAAAATGCTTTCAGCTTTAGTGTATCTAAAATTACATTGCCTTTATTTTTGAGGAATATTTTTCTTGTGTATAGAATTTTAGGTTGGCAGATTTTTCTTTTTCTTTCATCTTTTAGGAATTCTGTTGTGTTCTTATTTTCATCACTCTTTTGAAAAATTAGCTGTATTTTTTGTTCATTTAAATGAAAAGTATCCTTTATCTCTGGCTGCTTTTCAGATTTTCTCTATGAATTTGGTTTTCAGCAGTTTGAATGTGATGTGTCTCAATGTAGTTTTCTTTCTGTGTATTCTGCTCGGGGAACATAAAGTTTCTTCAGCTTGTGGTTTGATGTTTTTCAAATCATTAATTGATAACATTTTGCTTGTTTTATTATCTCCTTCCTTTCCGTCTGGGACTGTGATTACTCATGTGTCACAACTTTTCACCCTATCTCATAATCCTGTTACACTCTTTCTGTATCTTTTGATCTCTTTGTGTATCATGTTTTCTTTCCTCTTATGTTATGTATGGATACTTTCTACTTACCTTTGCTATACTTCACCAATTCTCTGGTCTTTTGTGTCTAATATGCTATTAAAGCAATCTATTAAGTACCAATTTTAATTATTATTATTTTTCTTTTTTAATTTTTCATTTTACTTTTTTATGAGTTTTATTTCTATGCTGAAATTCCACAGCCTTGTTTCTAATTTCTTAACGTATGAATCACAGTTAAGTTCTCTAAGAACTCAAGTATCTGAACCACTTGTGCCTGTGTTTATTTTCTGTTATTTCTCTTGAGTTATTGGCAACTTATTCTGTTTTTTTAACTGCTTTCCTAATTTTTGATTCAATGCAGAATATTGTGGATGAAAAAATATAAAGGTTTTGATTGATGTTATTTTCTTTCAAGAGGATTTTTTGGGGAAGTGGGCAGATAAAGTACCAGCAGATTACTTTGATGCTATCAAATATTAGTTTTAGGCTTTGTTAGGACTAGCCCATTTAAGGTTTGATCTTTCTCCAAGAACATAGTCTTTAAACCATAAGATATGCTTCTTCATATGTCAGGGATTTTCTTATGTGTCAACTGAAATCATGGAGTGTTTATTAGAATGTTTCTTTTTGTTGGGGCATAAACTCCATTGCTTTTCTCAGAACAATATAACCACTGAAATGACTGCTCAACTGTTTAGCTCTTTGGCCACTATTTCCTACAAGTTTCCTTGAGGTCTCTCCTATTGCATGCATAGCTTAGGAATCAGCCAGTGACATTAGGGGAATTCATATATAAAATTTTAGATTAACTTGTCTGGTTTCTTCATGTCTGAAACTTTGCCCTTTGAGCTCCACCTGGTTTGATAGTCTTGAACCAGTAAGACTGACACTTCCTTTTCAGCCTCAGTAACCCTGCACTGTAAAATGAAAAATGCCCGAAAGTAAAAAGCAATAGCGAATATACAACTCATGTCCTGTGTTTTCTGTTCATCAAGGATTATAGTCCTTTTGTCCTGTTTATGTTGTTTACTTTTCTGAGTCTTCAGTTGGTTTCCTATATTTTGTTGAGCTTTTATTATTGTTTCCAATGGGAGGATTATTCCAAAGATATGAGGGAATTTCAAGAAGTTTGTGGGAATAATGGAATTAAAAATTTTTTGAAAAATAAATGTTGCCTCAACATAAGCCCCTTCAAGTTCAAGACACTTTTGTAAGCAGTGATAACAGCAATTTAGTCCATCACTAAGAAACTGAAGGTCCTAGGAATTTAGCCATGTAGATACAGTATTTTTACATTATTAACCAAACAAAAATGGGTGCCCTTCTCCCAGCACTTTGGGAGGCCGAGGCGGGCGGATCACAAGGTCAGGAAATCGAGACCATCCTGGCTAACATGGTGAAACCCTGTCTCTACTAAAAATACAAAAAATAAAATAAAATAAAATAACTGGGTGTGGTGGCGGGTGCCTGTAGTCCCAGCTACTCGGGAGGCTGAGGCAGGAGAATGGCGTGAACCTGGGAGGCGGAACTTGCAGTGAGCCGAGATCGAGCCACTGCACTCCAGCCTGGGCAACAGAGCGAGACTCCGTCTCAAAAAAAAAAGAAAAATGGGTGCCCTTCACAGATTTTTTGAGATTAGGAAACGAAGTCAGAAGGAGCCAAATCAGGACTCTAAGGTGGATGCCTAATGATTCCCCATTGAAACTCAAAATTGCCCTTAGTTGATGAGAGGAATGGGCAAAGTCATTGCCATCGTGGAGGAGGACTGTCTGGTGAAGCTTTCCTGGGTGTTTTCCTGCTAAAGCTATGGCTGACTTTCTCAGAGCACTACAGTAATAAGCAAATGTTATCATTCTTTGGTCTTCCAGAAAGTCAACAAGCAAAACACCTTGAGCATCTCAAAAAACTGTCACCATGGCCTTTGCTTTTGACCCATCTGCTTTTGCTTTGACTGGACCACTTCTGCCTCTTGGTAGCCATTGCTTTGATTCTGCTTTGTCTTCAGGATCATACTGGTAAAGCCATGTTTCCTCTCCTGTTACAGTTCTTTGAGGATATGCTTCAGAATCTTGATCTCACTTGTTTAAAATCTCCATTGAAAGTTCTTCTCTTTTCTGCAGCTGATCTTGATGCATCCCATCAAGTGGAGAGTTTGCTCAACTTTCATTTTTCAGTCAGAATTGTGTAAGCTGAACCAATTGAGATGTCTTTGGTGTCTTCTCTTCTTTAATTCACTACAGATATTTAGATGAGTATTTCTTTTTATCATTTTAGGATTTGTTAGACTCCCTGGATCTGAGGATTGGTGTCTTTCAAGATCTCTGGAAAATTCAATCATTTCTTTCAATAATAACTCTCCCACAATCTTTCTATTATATCTATTTGAACCTCAGATCAGATGTGTCTTAGGTCTTCTCACTATATGCTCTATATCGTCTATCCTTTTTCATATTTTCCATCATTTTTTCGATTTTAGACTGAATTATGAATAATTTCCTCTACTCCAGATCCAGTTCAGTAATTCTTTCTTCAACTTTGTTTAATCTTCTATTTAGTCTCTTCAATAAATTTCTATTTTGAACTATTTTATTTCAATTATTTTTTAATTTCTAGTTTTGATTCTTTTTTATAAATACAATTATTTTCTGTTCAAGTTTCTAGTTTCTATTTTATTTTTCAAATGTACAAAACATGGCTATTCTATGTTCTGTGACTAGTAATTCTGATATCTAAATTTTGCCTGTTTCTGATTCTCTTGTTTGTAATGGCTGTCTTTCATTGTGCTTTATTTCCTGAGTGTTATGTGGTTTTAAAAATTATTAATGTGAGCTTCTCCTTTCATGTGAATTTTTGTCCTAGAAATTATTTCTAGATACATTAAAGTTAAATTTCTCTAGAAAAGATATGCATGTGCATCTTCCAATTGAATACATTAGCAAATTGGGACCACCTCAAATTATTTGCTTAGGGTTTTTGAATTCACAGATGTAGCATGAATTAATATTGCAAACCTATATGGAAAACTGGTTTGTGATTATTCATTCTCATTGATCTTTTTCCCCTTCATCTTTCAGCAGGGTCAAGACAAGCAAATTGCATTGATTTCTTCTGTGACATGAATTTACTTCCTATTTACCTTTACCCTGTTGGAATACCCCTTTGGTGTGTGAGCTTTGTGCTGGGATGTCATTTTTAATTATATTCTTTTTGTGAGCTTGGTCTTAATATCCTAGGCTGGAAACCCCATAGAGTCACTCCCCATACATTCTCCAGGGTTTTGTGGAAGCATTGTGGTGAGAGCCAGCTTTCATGCTTGCTTCCTTCAATGTTTCCTGCTTTTAGTTTGTTTCTGGCTTTGTGTACTCTCTACTTTCCTATCATTTCATTGATGAATTTATAATATTTTGTGTATATATGTTGTTTGCATCAGTAGTATGTTTTGGGACATTTATCTACATTCCTAGAACTAAAACATTATTTTTAACACCTTATTAAAGTTAGATATTTGCATGTGTGATTATATATCAGTATATCATAAATGTACAGCTTGATACATTTTTACAAACTGAACACAACCTTGGGCCAGCACCTAAATTAATTAAGAGAACATTACCAGTAACCCAGAAGTCGCCTTTGTGTTCCTCTCTAGTCACTACCTGGCCCAAGAGTAAATATTATTCTAAGTCTTAATATCAAATATTAGTTTCACCTGTTTTTATATTTATGTAAATATAACAATATAGTATGTACTCTCTTGTTTCTGGCTTAGTTCACTACAGTATGTTGGTGAGATTCAGCTATATTGTGAAAAATGCAAATCATTCATTCTCATTGCTGTACCATATTTCATTGTGAATATGCCACAATTTATTTAAACATTCTACTGTTGATGGTACCCAGCTGATAGAGAGCAGGGTGGATTAGAGCTGAGAAAGCAGGGAGGATAGGATTTGAGTAGTTTCCAGTTTTAGACTACCTTGGATGGTGACACTTTGAGGATTCCAGTACGTGTCCTTCAGTGAAAATGTGTATATTGGGTACACACCTAAAAGTGGTATTACTGAATAATAGTCTTATTTTGCGTTGCAAAATAATACTTGTAACATTTTCAAAATCCAAAGTGTCTAAAGAAAAAAATTACTGCTCAACCCTCCCCCACTTCCTGAAGTAGCCAAATTTGTCCTTATGTTTTCTGTGCTTAAACATAAACACGCAATTATAGAATTTTTTCCCTGCAAAAAGTAGGATCATACTTTTATTGCTGAAAATATACATTAAGACAATTTCTCAAGGTATGAATTGAGCTCATTTTAAAGAATTGCGTAATATTTTTGATATGGATTTTTAATTGTTCATTTATTCACATGTTTCAGAATATTTACCAAACTTAGTATCTCAAAAGTTATTTGAATACTTTCAGGATTTCATAGCAGTCTTCGTTACTCAGAGCTACTCCAGGCAGAACATTAGAAAGGAAAACAAACTCAAGGGGAAGTAGAAATAAGAAAGGATCCAGCATTTAAAATTTAGCTTATAATGTGGTGTCTGAGACTGAGAAAGAGGAGATAGAACCAGCTCAAAATTTGAGGAAGCAGCCAGACAGGGTGGCTTATGCCTGTAATCCCAGTACTTTGGGAGCGGAAGCAGGAGGATCACTTGAGCCCAGGACTTCAAGACCAGTCTGGGCAACAAAGTGAGACCCCATCTCTACAGAAAAAAAAAAAAAAAAAAATACAAAAACTCCCTGGGCATGATGGCGCGCACATCTGTAGTCCCAGCTATTGGGGAGGCTGAGGTGGGCGGATCGATTGAGCCCAGGAGTTCGAGGTTGCAGTGAGCCTCGCTCCACTGCACTCCAGCACAAGACCCTGTCTCAAAAAAAAAAAAAAAAAAAAAAAGGTAAAATTTGAGGAAGCATTAAAAGAGCATGAAGGAAGGAGAAAACTTACTTACAGCACAGGAGGTGTGTAATTTCATCCATTTTCTGCTTTAGGCTGCTGTTTGTTTTTTTGAGGAATGATCCTAAGGATTTTCTTTCTTACCCCATTTCATCCATCCATCCAGTGGACATTACAGAGCACCTGTTTGTGACCTAGTTGAAGTGGGGAATAGAAAGAATAAAATAGAGTTCTTAACCTATGCTTCCTGTAGTTGGAGCAGTTGAAATGAAACCCTTAATTTATATGGGATGTCGTACCCTGTCCCTTTCACCACTGAAGCCACCTTCCCCTGGAAGGTCCACTCTGGACACTACACTTTTGTAGTAAGGGAGAAAGCTTTGTGATGGTCTCTTCCAGAGAACAGTTTGGTCCCAGGACAACCCTTCCTTAGGTACCCAGCAAACAGGGGCCAGGGCAGTGAGGGGTGAGGAATCTGGAGACAGGACAGGGGCCATGCAAATCTCCCTGGGGCCCTGGGGACCAGCCATAAAAAGAGATGAGTGGTTCCTCCAGGTTTTACAGTTGAGCTCTCCAGGTTAGATGAGTAGATGCGAGTGCAGGACCTGGTCAGGCATAAAGCCAGTTCCTGCTCCATGGTCAAGTCTCGTGTTCCACTCAAATAACATGGATCAGAACTAGCAACAAAGTTCTCCACAGGGAGAAATCATATTTGTAGAGAAGCCGCTGCCAGCTGCTTGGGTGAGGATATTTTATGTAGTTTTTTAGTTGATTAAATTTATTTTTATTACAAAATAATACGTGTGACTATTGAAACGCTAATGAGGTGTATCAAGAAAAAAATAACAAGTAATCCACTTTCCTGTCTGAAGTAACTGGTTCTAATAGTTTATCTTCCATACAATTTCTGTGTTTATATAAGTACATATGAACAGTTTTGAAGTTTTTTTTACACAAAATGGAACGTTTTTTACTATGTTAGATGTTTATTTTAAAAATAATATATAAATATATAGATAGAGGCAATATATAAGTAGATTTATATAAGTAGATTTAACCCATCCTTGGAAATAGTTGTATATTATTTTACACAGAGATCATCATTATTTATCCATCGCTCCCTTGTTAATGAACAGTCTCAACGATTTACTTTGAAACAAATCGTCCTGCTGCACTCTGAGGGCGGGCGTCTGGGTCTCCATCCCGGATCTGGGGCGGCATCTTGGGGTAGAAACTGACACAAAGCCGGGCCTCTGCGGTCCGGGGGCGGCGGCCAAGCTCCGCCTCCACCCGCGGCAGCCAATCAGCTCCCGGGGACGCCCCAACCCCCAACCGTCTGCACTGCAGCCCACCTCCCCCCACACGCCTCCTCCTAGCCACTTCACTACCAATTTGCAAATTCCCAAGGCGTCTGCCCCAGCGCCTTCCCACATCTCTGTGGAAGACTCCCCACTCCAAAGTAGCCTGGTGTGGAAATTGCTGGACGAAAGGGTGAGTCTCGTCCAAAGCTGGTTTCGGGGACCAGACCAGGCCCGGGCACACGGACCAATTCAGGGGCGGCTCCCGATGCAGTCCGCTGAGGTGCGGGTGGGAGAAGGAGGCACTGGGTCGGGGTCCTTGGGGAGCGCGGCCGAGGGGGGCGCACGCGGGGCTGCCAAAGTGGTCGCGTTTTTGGCCTGGGACCCCCTTGGGTTTTGGGTCCAGGGAGGTAGATGTCTTTCAAAAAGGGTTGCCTGCGCTTTCTCCATTGCTGTTTCTATTTCAGCTTCTTTCTACCAGTCTCTTATTTCTTTCATACTGCATTTCTTCTCCAGGAACATAACCAGCAACATATTTTATTTTATTATGAAATATATTTCAAAGCTACGCGCAGGAGATAATATGACAGATTTATTATATGCTGACATTTTATCACCTTTGCTTCAGCGCTCCCTCTCTTCCTCCACCCCCCTTTCTTTCTAAGAAATAAAACACTTAAAAACCCCTTCCCCCCACCAAATCTCATGCCCCCATCCTGAGAGGTAAGTTAGCTTGCATCCCTTACCTTGTATATTTTGTCCTTTATTATTAATGTTTATTTTTAGGTATGCGTTTTTGTTCTGAATTTAAAATTTTTGCACGAGATTCAGTATTACAGGGTTTTAACTTGCGGTGCTGTTAGTCCTGACATTGCAGACCCGGAAGGGACTTAGTGAGTGCCAGTCACTAGCCCGCTTCATTTAGCTGAAAAATCTGAACACTGGAGAAGATAAAAGATGTGCTCACTGTCTCTCAGGTGGGCCTTGACTTGGCAGAATCTTGAATTCAGGTTCTCTTGATTTCTCTCCCTGCCATTTCCTTTACATAAAACCTGCCGCGGAGCTCACCTATCTACATGGCCTTCTGACTTGTTCCTAATGATCCAATTTGGAGAAAGGGAGTTGAAGGGAGATGGGGAAAGGGAGTATGGCTTGGGTTGGGACTCAAACCCCAGTTAGGATTAAAAGGTATGCATTTTCCTGAAATATGAAATATTGAATTTTAGGATGATTTGAATATTTATTTATGAGGCACTCATCCAGTCTTACCGTATACCAGACATTGATTCAAGAACTTTACAAGCATAAACTCACCTAACTTAAGCCTTATAATAAGGCTTAGTATAGGTATTACTTTTCTCATCCCCGTTGTATAGGTAATAACACTGAGGCACAGAGGAATTAGGTAACTTCCCCAAAGTCACACCGTTGGTAAAGTGTAGCTCTGGGATTTGAATCCAGTCCACTTAGTCTGGGTCCCTGTCACCACCCTGCATTTCCCATGCTGGAGCCAGCACCTGTGAGAAAGGTGAAGTGGCCACATACACAAGAGAGAGGAGCAGCTCTCAGCTGATATCATAAAGGAAAGAAATGGGGAGCGGGCACGATGGTGGCTCACGCCTGTAATCCCAACACTTTGGGAGGCCGAGGCGGGCGGATCACTTGAGGTCAGTGATTTGAGATCAGCCTGGCCAACATGGTGAAATCCCGTCTCTACAAAAATAAAAAAATTAGCCAGGCGTGATGGCGGGCGCCTGTAATCCCAGCTATTTGGGAGGCTGAGGCAGGAGAATCTCTTGAACTCGGGAGGCGGAGGTTGCAGTGAGCCGAGATCGCGCCATTGCACTGCAGCCTGGGCGACAGAGCGAGACTCCGTCTCAAAAAAAAAAAAAAAAAAAAAAAGAAAAAGGAAAGAAAGAAATGCGATTTGAACTGTACACCGAAAAATACATTTTGGTTAACTATTGTTTGAACTGTATATTATTTTTAATTTACAAAAGTAAGACACGTAACTGCAAACAGTGCAGAGTTATATAAAAAGTTGCACCTCTCCTATTTCTCAAGTTAAACAATATTAATGGGTAGAAATGTAGCCTTCCCTTCTCCCCACCATAATACAAATATATACGGGGTTTGTTTTTCCTATAAAAACAAAAGCATATTCAACAATTTCTACAATTTGTATTTTCCCCTTGGCAATATATCACGGTATATTCACCGACTAAATGGAGATTCAAGCTCTTCCTAAGAACTGAATAATACTAAGCAGAATGTTTGTCCCACAATTTGCTCAGCCTTTCCCTTACTAATGTAGAGTCAGAGAAGTTTGTATCTTTAATGAAACAGCCGTCCACACTGCCAGGATGGGGTCTCCAGGCGTCCCTAAGCCACAGCAATGCCAAGCCACCAGGGCCGGCGACACAAAGAAGCGCTGTCCCCCGCCAAGCGCCGCCCCCTGGAGCTCCCACTCCAGCCTGGGAGGAAGTGGGGAGGAGGGGACTCCCGTGGAAACCCCTCCTCTCCTCCAGCTCCAGCCTCCTCCCCGCTCCCAAATCCCGGCTCGGTCGCCCAGTCACTGGTACAGGGAAGCCTCTTCCCTGTGCATTCCTCTCTGCGCCAGGCTCTGCCCGCTCCCACCTGCCCCCGTGGAAATCGCAGGGTGACCTGGTGAGTGGCCCTCTCCAAAAGCCTGGCAGGCTGGAGAAGGGGCCAGCAACGGTGGACTCGGCCTGGGTGCTGCGGGGGGGAGGGCAGGGCGGGAGGCCGGGGCGGGGGTGCGGGGCGCGATGGGTGCGCCGTGGGTCTGGGTGTGCCGAAATCAGAAATCATCGGGGACAGAGAATCCCCTTTGTGTCCGTATTTCTGCTGGTGATTTTCCTCTGCGCTTGGGTCCCGCATCCCCCTGCCGCATTGCTCCTCCTCTCCAGGTTCTGACATCTGATGTTTGTGTGTGCTTGCTTTGTGTGGTTGAGTTACCTGAGGGCCTGACCTAGAGAACCGCGTCTAATCCGCTGCTTTGTCGGATGAGAAGGCCCGGGGCTTGAGCAGGGTCGCGGGTAGCTGGTGACAGAGCATTACTTGTGGCCTACTGTCCTACTGCCCTTTGATCTTTGTGAACACTGGCTTTGGGACTGAGCTCTATCTCCCACTGGCACTGGCCCCTGGAGACTTGAGTGAGCGTTCGTGTGTGTGTGTGTGTGTGTGTGTGTTTACGCGCATGGAGGAGCTCCCCTCCTCCCTGCCGGCTGCCCCCCACTCCCCAGCCCCCTCCCTTCTCAGACGTCACCGTTGTGCTCTTTGCAGACTGGCTTTGGGCCTGGGAGGAAAGAAGAGAGTGGAGCCCCGCCAGACTCCAAGCTGAGTGCTGACAGCCTCTGGGAGTTTAGAACATCCCTTCTCACACACTGTGCATTTGATAGAATACTCCCTGAGGCACGCAGATCAACAGCTGGGGGGTAGGCAGCGCCCACATTTAAAAAGGTAATAATACCCAGGTCTTCTCACTCCTGGGCTTGTGCTCCTCAATTATGTCATCCTCTTGAGTGACCTAGGAGAGAAGTGAGAGAATAGGAGTAAGAGAAAGACAGAGCCTCTGGGGAACTTGAGAATTAAGAAGGCAGTTCGGTAAGGTAGAAATAGAGGACTAGAAGAAGCAAAGACTCCAACCCTGCTTACTCCTATGGGGATGGTAGAGGGGCTGAATGGGGAGGATCACAGGAGGGGCTTCAAAGATGGTGGTAAAGGTCTATTTTTTAAGCTGAATGGTAGGTATATGGGAGTTTGTTTAATTTTTCAGATTGTTTTATTATTACCATCTATATCCCTCCACATGTATTCCATATTCTTACAGGTGTATGAATTAAACAATCTTAAGTGAAAAATAAGACTGAGCTGGGAATGTCTAGGACAGAATTCAAAAAAGGGGTTGAACTAGCCCGATGTCTTGGAAAAGACACTGGATATAGAAAGGAAAAGAAACAGAAGGTTCATGAGAAAAAAACAGCATGAAGGAGAGAAGACCTATGGAATTGAATGTGTGTAATATAAACCAGTTTTCGAGGTCAGGCTAGCTAGTTGCTGAAAAAATGATCCTGGGTTTACCCTTATACCCTCATCTGTCATTTAATCATCCAGACATGGAATGTCTATTCATCCAAAGAATAAAATGTATACTCTGGCCTCAGACACTTACTCTAGTTTCAGGATTTGAAATCACACTACCATACGGGATATGGGTGGTGCAGCATCCAGCATGGCCCTCCATCCACCTGCCCTTCCACGCATCTCTCAAAGGGAAAACCAGGTTTACGAGCCATGGCGCTGCTCTGTGGTGGGAGTGGAAGCTCTGCTCTCTCCCTGAGTTACAGGTTGTGCCTTCAATACTTTCTGCTTTGGAGTTGGCTTTGGTTCCAGCAAGCTAAAAGGGGCCAGAGGTGGGCCCAGGAGAAAGAAAGCAGGAAGCATGGGAGGGGTTAGGGAGAGAAATGAAAGGACATTTCCCCCAGGTTTTATTCATTTGAGCTCACCAAGCTTGGAGGACAAACATGGATTCGGGCATAGAGAGGGAGCATTTGGTTCAAAAGTCAAGTGATGGAGTCACTGATAGCTGGTTAAAGTGGGGACACAACCAGCTGCAGAGTTCAAGGGACCCCCATAGAGGAGGAAATCAAATTTATAGATGGGCAGATGCACAACCTGATCAGAGATGGAGGAAGACCTTTTAGGTCCAGTGAGCCAGGATCAGTTGATCAGTCTACCTCATCATGTAAAAACTGTACCTAATCTTTTAATGTGTGTTTACATGCTTAACTGAATTTGTATTAACTCGGTGTTGTTTCTCATTGTAGTAGCAATACATACAACAATTCAAAGGATGCAGATTTGTATAAAGACAGAGAAAATGGTTCACCTCTTTCCTTCCTAATGTAATCAATGTGATTATGTTGAAATGTGGCCTCCATAGATTTTCAATGCATATAAAAGCCTGGTATGTAACAGGTACTTATGTATTCCTGGTGCTTAAGAGTATGGACTCCAGCACTGGGTTTCCTGGATTTGAATCCTAGATCCACCACCACTTAGCACCTGTGTGATTTTGAGCAAATAATTAATTCTCTGGGCATTATGATTTTGGAGTTTTTGTTTTGCCCATCCATAAAATGGGGATAGTGATAGTAAATATCTCATAGGTTTATTGTCAGCATTAAATAAGTTACAGAAATCACGTGTAGTAATGCCAGGAACCTGGTAAGCATTGTGTTGTTACTACTACTAATAATAATTACTACCACTACTAATTACAACTATTACTATTATCTTTGCCCATACAAAAATGACTTCATGTTCTGCATATCATAGTGACTTGAAATTTTCACTTGAAATGTATCTAGGACATTCTTCTAGGTGGATGTAAAATATATTCAACTCATCCTTGAACTAGCTCAGAAAACAACTAGTGAGACAGATATGTGAGGTCCCTGTTCTGCTTGTACTCGTGCCAGCGTTAGAGGCAGCAGAGGCTGAGGGAGAAGGGTTCTGATGGGCAACTCTTTAGTGGGTGTGTGTGGATAGATGGCTGGGGACAGTGCTACAGGGTCTTATGCTGGGTACAATGGGGTATCTGGGGGCTATGTGGAAGTTGGATAGGTGTGGGTTTGGGTTAGAGATCCTGCACCCACAAGAATCAAAAATGGTTCTAGGAAACATTCTTTGTCATTAGTCTATCTGTCTGTACTTCTAGGTTTTCATTTATCTCCTTTTGTAATTTTGTGTGGCAGTAAGCATCCTGTACGTATATCTTTGATACTGCCCTTCTTAGTTCTGTAAGAACGGTTATTAGAAGAAAGGTTGTTGGGTCTAAAGATAGGCACACCTTTGAAGCCAAGTAGGCACCATAAAATTGTTTTTGAAAAAGAGCGCAGACATTCTCCGTCATTCCTGCCGATTGTGATGGTCTTTTAAGTATTAAACATTATTAGCCTTTCAAATATTAAACTTTACTAGCCACCTTTGTCTTCTTCATCTTCATCTCCTTCCCCTTCTTCTCCTCCTCCACTTTCTCCTAGAAAGAAGTATCATCTTTTTTAACAATATTATGAGCAACACATGATATATTTTCCATTACTTGACTACTAGTGAGATTGAGCATTTTTTCCACACAAGTGGCCATTTATATTTTCTTTTCTGTGCCATATCTTCTCTTAGAAGGACAGGATTTCCGTAGATAGAAAGATTTGGGAGAGGGAACAGAATGGAAAGAGATTAGGAAGATAATCTAAAATGAAAACAGGGCATGTCCAAGGGCGCCTGGCAGACGGGATGCTGCAGGGAGAAAGGCAGCAGGAGAAAAGGCAGGAAAAGCCAGGGAGCAGCCAGCTCTGCAGGCAGTCCACACCAGGAGGCAGTAGATGGTCCCCAGAGACCAAGGTGGAGCTTTGAGATTAAATAACATGATTAGAGTGGTTTTAGAAAAGTAAAGGTGGGAAGAGGTCTTGGTAACTTAGAAATTGGGTTGGTTGAGTCCAGGCATGAATTACTAAGGACCTAAACTAGGTTAATGGCAGTGTGATTGGAAACCATGAACAAGGACATTAATAGGACTTGTGACCAGCTGGATATGGCAGCAGCAGGGAGAAGAGACATACTGTGACACTGTGCACTTTGCTATCCTGATTATTTGTGGGCATCAGGAGGAGCAGGGAAGAGACAAGCTTCTTGCTTACCAAATGTTCATATCAGTATCTTCTCAATAGTCCCCTGAGGTAGGTAGGTCATTAATGCTTCTGTTTAACTACTAGAAACGTTGAGCTTATGTAATTTGCCTTAAAAGAGCTCACTTAGAGGGAAATTAATAAATTCAAGACTTTTTTAGTTTAGAGACTGGCTATAAATGGCCAGTATGGTCTTGAACTTGTTACCTCAAGACTGGGGCTATTTTATCCTGGCTTGTGGAAGGCCCACAGCCTGTGTGAAGGGCTTTCTCAAGGGTACACAGAGATATATGAGAAATGAATGTAATAGTAATTAGCATTAGTGTTAGTGTTAGTATTAGTATGGTACCAAAATATGAAAACTATTAAATCAGAATCAATACATGCTCAATTCAGTGCTTGTAAAATCTATGTTAGGTTAAATTGTTTTTCCACTGCAAGAATTCTCTATTATTCACATGCTTAAATTAAATGGTTTATTCTTAACCAAATAATTATAAACATATACGTTTATGCATATAAATAATACTTATGAAAAGGCATTTAACCTATGTTATTTCCCTTAATCCTCAGGACAAGCGTATATGGCAGATATTATTATTCCTATTTAATTAATAATGAAACTAAATCTGAGATGTGTTGTCCGCGTCTCACAATTGTTAAGCAACAGAGCTGAAATTCAAACTCAGACTGCCATAACTCCAGAGCCCAAGTTTATAATCAGGTTGCGTATTATGTTGGGAGTGAGCATATTATCTGACAAGGGAGATAGACAAGTAGTAAGGGCCAGTGATTAAATTGTAAGGGCTGTCTGCATATTCCAAGAGGAGGTCAGAAAAGGACAGAAAGTAAGTGGTTCTAGAGGTTGGATATAAAGAGGTTACCTCGGGCCGCACTGACAGAGGTGGTTCAGCCTCATGGACTGAAGAGCAGTGATGTCCTGTGCTGCTGAGTGGTCACTGAGGATGAGACAACCTGCATGACCTGACCATGAAAACACATCTGTCCTTGGAGGAAGTGTTTCAGTACAGTGCTCATAGCAGAGGTCAGACTATAGAGCATCATTAGTGGGGATCTCATTGTGAAGAAGCCGAGGATATTTGTGAATTCACCTCCACACTTTTGTCAGCTGCATCCCAGGTGCAATTAGGATGCTGCAGTAATTGCATATCTTGTTACCTTCTGCTCCTGGTTATGTGAGACTTGCATTTAAACCACAGAGGACTTCCACTTTCCTCTTACCTAGCCTGTGGCTTTGACCAAAGAACCTTTTCTGAAAGCCCAGGCATTTCAGATGGAAGTTCTGAGTTCTCCAAGCTGGGATTAATCTGATTAGTGTGGGAGCCAAGAGGGATGGAATGGGCTGGGAGCACAACATGCCGCACCACTGTATGAATTCCCAGCAGCTGCTGTAGCAAATGACCACAAATGGGGTGGCTTAAAATAACAGGAAGACATCATCTCACAGTTCTGAAGGCTTAGAAGTTTGAAGTCCAGGTGTCAGCAATGTGGCGATTCTGAGGCAGAATCTGTTCCCGGCCTCTCACTTAGCTCCTGGTGTTTGCCAGCAATTCTTGGTCTTCCTTGGCTTGTAGACTCATCGCTCCAATCTCTGCCCCCATTTTCTGATAGCATTCTCCCCTGTGTTTCCAAATGTCCTCTTACAAGGACATCAGTCATTGGACTATGACCCATTTGAATCACATATGACCTCATCTTAGCTTGATTACATCTGTGAAGACCTCTTTCCAAATAAGTCCTATGGGTTAGGACT
Source organism: Homo sapiens (assembly GCF_000001405.40). Lineage (NCBI taxonomy): Eukaryota > Metazoa > Chordata > Mammalia > Primates > Hominidae > Homo > Homo sapiens. The sequence continues at coordinate 421,142 of NW_018654714.1, read as the reverse complement.
TCAAAATATCTCTTTGGGGGACACAATTCCTTGCTCATTCTTTCATTCTGTTTGTTTCCTTCTGTGATGGAAAAGTATCAAGCTCTCTAAGTTTGACTGCAGAATTTAAGAGGAGAGGGCCCATTGGGGTCTCCTGGACTTCAGACACTAACACCGAGTGCTTAAATCATTTCCCAGTGTCAGCCTCATCTGCATAGTGGGAAGAATAGCCCAGCTACTGGAAGAGTGAACTGCTCTATTTGTTTCTTTGTTTATCCATTCTTCGCTAAGCTGAGCCTTTGCTTTCTTCTCTGCAGAAACCAATAGAGCCATGGCGACTCCCTCTGCTGCCTTCGAGGCCCTTATGAATGGTGTGACAAGCTGGGATGTACCCGAAGATGCTGTTCCATGTGAACTGCTTCTTATTGGAGAGGCTTCATTTCCTGTGATGGTGAATGACATGGGCCAGGTCCTCATTGCTGCCTCCTCCTATGGCCGTGGCCGCCTGGTGGTCGTGTCCCATGAGGACTACTTGGTGGAAGCCCAGCTCACGCCCTTTCTCCTGAACGCAGTGGGGTGGCTTTGCTCTTCCCCTGGGGCTCCCATTGGTGTACACCCATCCCTGGCACCTTTGGCCAAAATCCTCGAGGGCTCTGGAGTGGATGCAAAGGTTGAGCCAGAAGTGAAAGACTCCCTGGGGGTTTACTGTATTGATGCCTACAATGAAACCATGACAGAAAAGCTGGTCAAGTTCATGAAATGTGGTGGCGGCTTGCTCATAGGAGGACAAGCCTGGGATTGGGCCAACCAGGGGGAGGATGAAAGGGTTCTGTTCACGTTCCCTGGGAACCTCGTGACCAGTGTGGCTGGCATTTACTTTACTGACAACAAAGGGGACACGAGTTTCTTTAAAGTCTCCAAGAAGATGCCCAAGATCCCAGTGTTGGTTAGGTGAGTATGTTACCCCACTGGGGAGTTGGCTCCAGGGTTGAAAAGCAGACCCAGTTCTTATCTTCAGGTTGCTCCAAGGCTAACAGAAGAGTGCTCCCAGGCACTCAGATATGGAATCACTACATATCAACTAGATTTTTTAAATGCCCTGAGACATAGGAGGGGCAAGGTCCTCACTGCCCCTGTCTTCCCAAACCAGACCATTTAGCTCTTTGATAATTTGAACTTAATGGTGGCTATGGTCCCAGTGTCTTGCTTAATCAAAACTGTGCTGTTGGCCCCAACAGTTGGCATAGTTAATCCAGATGGTTTATAGGAGAGGTTGCTTTCAACAGGAATGTGAAGAAAAGGAAAACAGGCATGAAGGACCCCATGAGCCAAAGCCTAGAGAGGTGTGGGGAAGGTTTTGAAATGTCTATCCAGATGAGGTTAGGATGCAATAGGAAGTAGAAGCCTTCAGAAGTTAAGATATCAGAAAAGATGGTTCAAGTTATATGTGCTAAATCTAGGATTTAGGAGGGGCAAAAGGTTGATGATCAGTAATGAAGGAGTCAGGTGATGGGTGCAGGAGAGCCTGCACTGAAAGTTTTTGGAGTGTACTGCCCTGCCTGCTTTGCTCTCACTGCACTCCAGCACCACATATAGTGCCTAACAGATAGCAGGTCAGTAGGTGCTCAGTAAACATCTCTTGCATGCATGACTGCATGAATGAATGAGAGGGATTATAAGCTGGATTAGTCCCGGGAGCAGAAAAAGTACATTAGGCCACTCTCTATGTTGTATATTAAAACTCTCCGCATTCTCAGAACAAACAACACTGATATTTCTGACTGATGGGAATGGAGCAAGGTAGGATTGGGTGAGGACGACACACCAAGGGTACTACGAAGGTATGGGGAATGAGCTATGACTTCTCCTTGGCATGGGACTTTTAGGGAAGTTTTAGGAAGATCAACCAGAATAGTTAGTCTACTATGTTTTTGGACAAAAAGATGACTCGTATCATTTTAGCCCAAATATTGGGCTTCTGCAAAGGAGTTCAAACTCTCTGTTCATTCATCCATTTATTTAGCCAGGGTTTATTAAACATATTATATATCCCAGGCATTATTTCTTATTTCAAGAACCTGATTTGCAAAGATCTGAGAATTAGGGGCACAGGAACATCTCCAATTACAAGACTTGGAAACAAAAGTCAAAAACCAAGTAACTGTTGTAGGAAGAGGGTTATGCTATCATTGTTCATAAAACCTGGAAACCTGGGATCTATAACCAGTAATGGCACAGTGTGGCACTAGCATGTCCTTTCAATTCTCTTTTTCTCTCTAAAGGAAAGTGGTGGCATAGAAGCTCCTACTGTCCCTTGTAGGACATTTTTCAGTCTACAGTGATCTCTGTATGTTCACAAAGTCATCAGAGATGCATAGAAAAGAACGCCGTACAAATGGTCATACTCTAAATGCCCAAATGCTCCCATAAATTTGGTTTGAAAATACCCTCACGAAACCTGAATTGACCAGCCTTATAAATTGATGCTATCCATGCCCCCTTCAGTTTGAAAAATGGTGAAGGGATATTAGACACAAAAGAGACTTGGTTGTAAGTTTATTTATAATAAGGATCTTGCACATCCTTGGAGGTCGTTGCTGGTTATTGCTGGTTATATGTTAGGCATATATAGAATCCTAATTATAGGTTTTAGGTCAGAATCAATGCCCAGGCATGGTGGGGTGAATGTATTTACCTAACTCCTGCTTTGTACTTCTTACTATATGCTTAGCCATATATACTAAAATTGTTTTAACTGATTTTCACAAAATAGAACTTTTTAGAGAGTGAGTACAAGTGGCAAAATATGCTGTTTTATAAGAGAGATTGCCAAATCACAATTGTTTTCTTTTCCTTTTAATGAACATTTTTCCTTTTTAATTTTAAAATATGTGCTTCTTGGGAAAAAAGTAAAATAATTCAGAAGCATACGAAGTAAAAAGTGAAAGATCTTTGTCCTCCACCTCATCCTCTGCCTCTCGCTAATTCTTTTCTTCCCCCCTTCCAAAGAAATGATCACTGCTAATGGTTTGGATGGTATCTTGTCTGATGTTTTTCCTACATTTATGTATTGGGGTTAGAGTTGGGAGAGCTGGACTGGTAGAAAGAGACACAGAGAAAAAGAGAGAGATCTGCAACTTGCTCTTTCACTGACTATATCCTGAGCGTTTTTTTCATATCCCTGTAAAAAGATGGGCATCATCCTTTTGAAGAGCATCTTGCATTCAGTTGGATTGTCCTGAAATTCATTTAACCATTTGCCTATTAGCACATTAATGTTATTTCTATTTTTTCTTATAAATAATAATACAATGACTATCTTTTCGCTACCACCCCTAAGCTTGACATACACCTCTTCATTTTAAAGACTTGGTAATTTCCGTTTAGAAACATCTTATTTTGGAAATTTTCAAACACGTAACAGAAATAGAAATAGAACAATGAGCACATGTACTCATCACCCAGGTAATGGTATCAAATCACACCCCACCCACTCCTTAACCTTTCCCGTTTGTTTTGAAGCCAATCTCCAACAGTGTGTCATTTCACCCATAAAATAGTATATCTCCAAAAGATAAAGACAAAATTTTAAATGTAGTCACAATACTGTTATCCCATTTTTAAAATTATCACTATTTTTCTGTCCTAACAAAATGTCAAAAACCATATCATTTTCAAGAGGATTCCATAAGTGTCATCTGTTATGTACCTATATCTGTACTTACCCTTTAGATCAACTGATTATATAATCAGTTAAGTCATGGAAATATAAATAATATATTTATATTATATATTGGTCTAAAGGATAAGTATAGAGATGTATATCACAATTGTTTCATACTCTCAGTGTGATTTTAGAATTGAATTTGGCTTTTGCTTTATATATTTCAAAGCTATATTTTAGGTTTATAAAAACTCATGACTTTTTTATGGCTCATACATTTTTGTCATCTAAAATATTATTTCTTGCATTTAGTATTTTTCACCTTTATTTTGTCTAATATTAATTCTGACTCCTACTTTGTTTTACTTGTTGATCTTTTTATTCTTTCTTTTGCTTTTAAAGATACATCTCTTAGTACAAATCTGATTTTTTAACCCAATTGAGGGTTAAAAATTTATATAATTAAGGACATTGATGTTTTTATATAATTAAGGACATTGGTGTTTTTCTTCTAGTTCCATCATCTTATTTGATGTTCTTTGTTAAACAGTCTCGTTGCTTCTTTTCAAATTTTCCTTTGCTGCCTTTAGCTTGATTGATGGAGTTTCTTTTCCCCTTCTCTCTGTTTAGAAGTTATACACAATTTTTGTATCATTATTATAGCTACCTTTAATTTTTCCCAGCTCTTTCTTTCAAATTTTTCACACTTAAGGAAAAGTTGTCAGAATAACATAATAATCACCGCACCCTTTACCTAGATTCACCAGTGGTTACATTTTGCCACATATGCTGCATAAGTATACATACGAAGAGATTATTTGGCCTAGCCATTTGAGAGTAACCTACAGATCTCAAGAATGAAGGAGGCAGGTGATGGATATGACACTTCATACCTGAATACTTCAGCCTGTATCTCCTAACAAGGACATTTTCCCATATAACCACAATACAGTTATCTCACTCAAAACATGTAACATTGATAGAATGTTGTTATCTAATGTCCATGTTCAAACGTCTCTAATTGTTCAAAAAAATCCCTTTTTTAGATTTTTTAAGATATAGGATCTAATCAAGTTTCCATATCATATTTCTTTAGTCTCCTTTAATCAAAATAGTTCCCTAGCTTTTTTTTAAATCTTTCAGGACATTAGTATTTTTGAAGTATGCAGTCCCGTTGTTTTATGGAATGCCCTTCAGTTTGGCTTTGTCTAATTGTTTTTTTTTTCATGATTACACTCAGTTCACACATTTTTGGCAAGAAAATAATTTATGTTGTTTTCATCACAGTGTCACAAATTAAAGGTGCATGAGGTCAGTTTGTCCAATTACTGGTGATGTTAAAATTGGTCATTTAATTAAACTGGAGTTTGCCAGATTTTCCTATTTTACTGATTTTATTTATTATATTTTATTTCTACTTATTTTATTCCTTTCCCCCTTTTTTAAAACTAATTTAGTGTGTGACAATTTGAGATCTGTATGAATATCCTGTTTGCCAACAACCTTTCACCCAGTGGTTTTAGCTTTCATTGGTGATCTGTGCCTGAGTAAATATTTATGAAAGTGGCTACTTCTACCACTTCAGCCACTTCTGAACCTTTCTTCAAAATTCATCTCAGGTATCACATCTTTAGAAAGCTGTCCCTTACTCCTCTCCTCTCATTCTGATATAGATGAGTCTTTTGTGCTCCCATACTAACCTAACATCTTAGCACTTACCTCAGGCTAAGTGTTGGTTTACTTGTAGATTTCTATAAGAACTGATTGACATCCTTTGGTAAATAAGACCTTCGCTTCCCCACCTTCACATTTACTGTTAGGGTTGTTCTTCTTTTTAAACGTTTGTTTTAGTATCACCCTATACTCATGGATCCTTTTCTTTTAAGATCGAATACATTACAATCCATTTATAGTCAGTATTTTTTGAAGGCTAAGTTGTCCCAAATTTGGCAAGTTAAAGCCTCGTTAAGCTGTCTCCTGAGCCCATCAGTTTTTTTTTAGTATTTACTTAGTTTCTGACATAAAAAGATGTTGCAAGGTTACCTTGTACTTTTCTGGTTCAAAACCTGGATTCAGCCATTTCCTCAAGGAATGCTAGTTCCTTTTAGTGGTGAACGGTATTTAGAAACCAAGATCTAAAGCATGCTCAGTGCTATGGTGTCATCATTTCTGGGTTCTGAGAGAGCCATATCTTTTAATCATACATTCACACTGATACCCCCAATTTTACTTCAAAACCACAGGATTCTTCTTCTCTTTCACTCATTCCATATTAGTATTTTTCTTCTGCCATAGTGAGAATCCTGGTTTCAACAGCTTCAACATTTACCTATTTGCTCAGTCCAATAATACACACAAACGAGTTTCATGATTCCTATACCCATGCTATTGCCAATAACAAACTTGATAAGTTATTTTTGCCTTCTGAATACACCACACTGAGCATATAGAGTCCAGCAAGTACTATATTCAAAAGTATTCAAATTGCTTTTTACATTTGGGCCTGTTTTTATTCCATGTGGGGTTTTCTCCATATTTGTTTATTTAATTTTATTTTATGAATGCTAACAGCATGGCTACAATAGCAGAATACACATTCTTTTATGTGCACATGAGATAGTCATGAAGATAGACCATGAAGATAGACCATCTGCTGTGCTATAAAATAAGCCTTAGCAAGAGTAAAAGAATTGAAATCATACCATATATGTCCTCATCACAGTGGAATTAAATTAGAATTCAATAACATATCTGAAAAATTCCTAAATATTTGTAAATTTAAAAATGTTTCTAAATACTCCTTAAGTCAAAGCAGAAATTACAAAGGAAATTAGAATATATTTAGAACTGAATAAAAATGAAAGCATAACATGTCAAAAATTGTGCAATTCTATTAAAACAGTGCTAAGAAAGATATGCCTTTAAATACTTTTATTAGGAAGGAAGAAAATTTGAAACTCAGTGAACTATGTTTCCATATTAAGAATCTAAAAAAGGAAATTGAATTAAACCCAAAATCTGTAGAAGAAACGAGGAAATAATAGAGCAGAAATCTGTGAAACAACTTTAAAAAAAAAAGTAAACAGTAAAACCAAAAGCTGATTAGTTGAAAAAAAATCATTAAAAGTGATTAACCTCTAGATAAGCTATGAAAATAGGAGAGATAACACAAATTATGGATTTCAGGAATAGAAGAAGGAATATTAGTACAGATCCTACAGACATTAAAAGGATAGTAAGGGAATATTACAACTTTATGCCAATAAATTTGACAATTTAGATGAGATAGATAAATTTCCTGACAGCCAAAAATTACCAAAATGGATACAAAAAGAAACATGAAATATATGCTAAATAAATTGAATTGTAATTTTAAACATTCCAACACTAAATGCAATGTGGTATCCTGGATTGGATCCTAAAAGACATTGGTGTGAAGAGTGATGATATTTATATAAAATCTGGAGTTTAGTTAGTAGTGTTTGATCACTGTTGACTTCTTAGTTTTGACAAATGTATAATGGATGTTTTACTATATTGCAAGTTTTCGATTTTCTTACATTTTAAAATAGAAATTGTATTTAAAATCAACAACGCAAAGAAAATTCCAGGCCCAGACAGCTTCATTGATGAATTTTATCAAACATTCAAGGAACAAATAATACAAATCCTACATAAACTCTTTTTAAAAATAGAAAAGGAAGATCTTCCAACTTGATTTATTAAAACAGCATTTCTCTAATACTGAAACCAGAAAAGGACATCGTAAGAAAACTACAAAACAATATCCTTCATGAATATAGATGAAAAATTATTAATAAAATATTAATAGAATACGGAAATATATAAAAAGAAGAATACTTCATGACCAAGTAAGGCTATCCTAGGATGAATGACTGGTCTAACATTCAGTAATCAGATTAACTCACCATATTAATAGAATGAATGAGAAAAACCATGTAATTCAAGGCTGGGCATGGTGGCTCATGCCTGTGATCCCAGCACTTTGGGAGGCCAAGGTGAGTGGATCATTTGAGATCAGGAGTTTGATTTGAGACCAGCCTGACCACCATAGTGAAACGCTATCTCTATTAAAATACAAAAGTTAGCTGGGCATGGTGTTGTGTGCCTGTAGTCCGAGCTACTGGGGAGGCTGAGGCATGAGAATCATTTGAACCTGGGAGGCAGAGGTTGCAGTGAGCTGAGACCGTGCCTCTGTACTCAGCCTGGGCAACAGAGTGAGACTGTCTCAAAAAAAAAAAAAAAAAAACCAAAAGAAAAATAAAAACCATATAATTCAATAATACACATACAAAATATTGACCAAATTCAATACCAAATCATACCAAATGATGATAAAATTTCAGCAAATGAGAAATAAAAAGGAACTGCTTCAACCTGATAAAAATGTCTACGAAAAATATATAGTTAAAAATATTCTTAAAGGTGAATACTGAACATTTTCCCCTAAGACTGAGAACATGACAAGGAATAATACCTGCTCTCACCTCTTCTATTCAACATTGTGCTACAGGTCCTACCCAGTGTAATAAGGCAAGGAAAATAAGGCATAGAGATTGGAAATTTAAAAAAATATATATATATGTGTTTTGTTTTTCTAGAACACTGAGCCAAAAGACAGGAAATGTTTGAATCTTGGTGTTGGAAAACAAATTTAAAAGAAAAAAGTATTTTACACATTTAGAAGATTTTTAAATGACAAGATCCATTTAAACATAAAGTTAGAGCATTTCCTAGAATGGAATTATTTTATTTTTAGAAGTATTTGCAAAAAGCATGATCATCTATGTAAAAAAAAATCCTAAAATATCTACAGTAAAGCTATAATAATTAATTTTAACAAGGTTGTAAGATACAAAATTCAATTTACAAAACCCAATTACTTTTTTAATATATTAGCAACCAGCAATTGGTAATTACAATTTTAAAATACAACATTTAAAATAGAACCCAAATTATGAAGTAGTAAGTGTTAAATTTAACAAAATATGTCATGAGACCTGTATGGTGAAAACTACAAAACATCTCTGAGAGAAATTAAATAAAACCTAAAGAAATGGAGAAATATACCATGTTGATGGATCAGAACACTTGATATTTTAAGATGTCAGTTTCCCCATTAACCTACAGATTTAATGCAGTCCATAGTTCAAACCGATTCTAAAAATATACAAATGAAATGGAACTAACATAGGCTAGTTTTAAGACTTTTTACAGAAATGAAGTAGTCAAAACACTTTGATATTGGCATAAAGATAGACATGCAGATCAATGAAACAGACCAGATAGTTTAGAGATAGACCCACAAATTTATGGTAAATTGTTTTTTGACAGAGTTGCTCAGGTAATTCTATGAGGAAATTACAGTCTTTCCAACATATGGTTCTGGAACAACTGGATACCCTTATGGAGAAAAGGTGAATTGTGACCCTCACCCTACTCCATAAAAGCAAATATTTAAAAATAGATCTAGACCTAAATGCAAAAGCTAAATTTTAAAAACTTCTAAATGAAAGCATAGGAGAAAATATCTGTGACCTTGACCTTTGCAATTTTTGCCTACATAGGACACAAAAAGTACATGAACCATAAAAGGAAAAGATTAATAAATTGAGCTTTATTTTTAAAAAGTAAATAGCTCTGCAGTTCAATAGACAGTATTAAGGAAACAAAAAGGCAAGCCATAGACTGGAAAAAAAAATATTTGCAATACTTATATCTGACAATGGACTTGCATTCAGAATACATGGAGAACTCTTATATTCCAATAATGAGACCACCTATGTTTCTTTGTTTTTGTTTTGTTTTTTGAGACAGGGTCTCCCTTTCTGTCTCAGGCTGAAGTACAGTGGCACGAACATGGCACTCAAGCAATCCTTCCTCCTCAGCCTCCTGAGTAGCCAGGACTACAGGTGCACGCCACCACACCTGGCCATTTTTAAAATTTTTTGTAGAGATGGAGTCTTGCCATGTTGCCCAGGCTGTTCTCAGACTCCTGGGCTCAAGCAGTCCTGCCTTGGCCTCCCGAAGTGCTGGGATTATAGGCATGAGATACCACACCCTGCAAGTTTTTTTTTTTTAAGCCAAAATAGTTTAACACACTTCACAAAAGATAAAATATAAAAGGCCAAAAAGCCCAAATGATTCTCACTATCATTAGTCATCAGAGAAATGCAAAAAACTAAAATCACAATGAAATGCCCTATGGCCCCATAAAAATGGCTAAAATTAAAGACTCGCTATATGAATTGCTGACAAGAATGTGGTTTTATACATTGCCAGTGGGAATATAAAATGACACAACCACTTTGGAAGACGGTTTGGCAATTTCTTATAAAGTTAACTGACAATTAACATACAATTTTGCCATTTCATCACCCTTTATCCAAGAGAAAGGAAAACATGTCCACACAAAAACTTGTACATTAATGTTTAGGGCAGCAAGCCCAAACCAAAGACTACCCAAATGTCCATCAACAGATGACAGGATAAACAAAGTGTAGCCTATCTCCAGAATGGCATAATACACAGCTGTAGAAGACGATGCATTACGGATAGATGCCACAGTATGGATGGTTCTCACAAAGTTATTCTGAGTGAAAGAAGCCAAACTCAAAGGAGTACACACTTTATGATTACATTATATGAAGCTTTAGAAAAGACAAATGTTTATGGATAGAAAGCACATCAGTAGTTGCCTGCGGTTGTGTGTGGGACAGTCTCAGCTCACTGCCAGCTCCACCTCCCAGGTTCATGCCATTCTGCTGCCTCAGCCTCCCGAGTAGCTGGGACTACAGGCGCCCACCACCACGCCTGGCTAATTTTTTGTATTTTTAGTAGATGGGGTTTCACAGTGTCAGCCAGGATGGTCTCGATCTCCTGACCTCGTGATCCGCCCACCTTGGCCTCCCAAAGTGCTGGGATTACAGGCGTGAGCCACCACGCCCAGCCTAATCAATAATCTTTTAGAGTAGCCTGTCCCATTTTTTCACGAGAGAGGTAATATATCTTCTTAGAACTTTCTGATGATATGCAATACCTACTTAGAACGTTCTTCTCCATTTGTTGCTATTGTTCCCTTGGGAGTTTAGTTGGGTGCTTCTCTTTCATGCTGTTAATTTTCGTCAGATATTTGGTGGTTCTTGTCTATTTACATTTTAAATTACATTTAAATCCTAGGTTGATCATTATTGGTTACTGCAGAGCATTTTCTTGGGACAAATGATAATCTTTGGTCCTTTGTTCCCCTGATCTTCTCTTTCACATGTACGCAGTTAGATTCTTCTGTTCTCATGGCTTTCCAATCAATCAGATACCATTTGATTTATATTTTTTATAAATGTCCCCACTATCTCAGTTTGTTGATGGCACCCTTCTCAAAATCCAATGCTATTATGGATTTACTGAGTTTCACTCTGTCGCCCAGGCTAGAGTGCATTGGCATGATCTCAGCTCACTGCAACCTCTGCCTCCCAGGTTCAAGCAATTCTCCTGCCTCAGCCTCCTGAATAGCTGGGATTATAGGCACCCGCCATCATGCCCCGCTAATTTTTGTATTTTTGTAGAGACAGGGTTTCACCAGGATTTATTTTTTTAAGTAACTTTTGTTTCACTTCAGAAGAGGGTAAGGAAGAGAAGTAAAATCCAACTCATTTTTTCAACACATGAAAGAATTACTTAGCCCCTACTGTATATAAATCGTGGCTGTTGGAACTAATAGACAGATGCCTCCGAGGGTGCCCCCTGGCTAAGCACTGAGCAAGACCTCATGTAGTCTCATTGTTCAGATGAAGTTCTAATAACTCAGTGTCTGAATCTCAGCTTTGTAGGTTTAATTTCTCTCATCAGTAGGCTCATGTAGAAATCCTGAAGCTGATGTATTCACTTAGAGCACAGTAGCCCACCTCTTCACTGATTTTACTCTTAAAAAAAAATAATTGCATGAACTTCGTAAACAAGGCCAGGTGCCATGGCCTATAATCCCAGCACTTTGGGAGGCCGAGGCAGGAGGATTGCTTGAGCCCAGGAGTTCAAGACCAACCTGAGCAACATAGTGAGACCCCCCCCTTCTCCATTAAATTAAAAAATCAAAAATAAAAGAGAAAAAAATTATAAACAGAACTCTAATTATAAGAACTAAAACACATTTTTCATTAAATTTTGTATACATGTTTAAAGGACTACAATTGAAAATGAATTTTAAAAAATTTTAAGAGTCACCAAATTAAATACAGACTATCCAAAATGTTGCTTGAATAAAATAAATAAATGTTACAAATCTAGAATATTCTGGTTGGCCTAGCCAGTGACTTCTTTCTCTCATTAGGCAGGTGATCATGGAAAGCAGTATTACAATCACAGAGTTGTTTGGTAAGCCTCGAATCAGAGCAAGAAGAGATAGTTGAATGATGTTAATGATAGTTCTTTACCGAGTTAGAGAGTCATCCACCAATTAGTATGGTAGTAGCTTTATCTTTAGTAAAGGTTCATACTTGCTAAGAGGACCATAGCTTTCCCATCAGTAGAGCTCTGCCAGCCATAGAGAGTACAGCACGAACACTGCAAATTTGTTGTCTACCTGACCCCCATTTTTTGGTGTTATCTTACAGCTGCATCCTACTATACTATAGTAGCTGCATCCTACTATACTTTACCTAACAAAAGTGACAGAACCAACTCTGGAATCTCAAGCTCAGAGAGGCCACTCTATTCCTTAACTCCACCTTATCCAGTGTTCCATCTCATTTTGGATTTATGGGCATCTTGAGGGCTTCTAGGGCTGGATTACCCACAGACAGTAAACAGATGGTGCTGAGCAAAACCTTACAGCATGGATGTGCATCACTCCTGTTGGGCAGGCAGTGAAAAAGTGGAGTTCTAGATGCAGACAGTAAAGTCCTCTTGGGCTCAGGTAACCAGAGGGTCTCACTAGAGTTGAGGCCAGTCAGTTCCCCTACCCCACCTTTTGAGATAATAATGATTCTTCACTAGCACTACTGACTTGTCCTTCCACAGACTTTATTTGTAGGAAATTAGCTGCAATTTCCTGCAATTTATAAATAAGACTCCTTATAAGGAAAAAAAAACATGATTTCCCATTTTTTTATATGTATTGTTTAGAGGGTTGAAATAACCATGAACTAAAATCTGGAGTATTTAAGACATGGTACTGGATAAACACAGCAGGGCTCCCTTTGCAATTTCCATTGGAGAATTTGTGCTCTAAGAATGAGCAGAGCAGAATTAATGCTGAGTCCCTCTGCCACCCCTCCAACAAGTCTCCATACCCAGTGAGGTCAGAGCTGTCCATTTTGTTCTCCCAACTTTCCCCTAAGAACTAAAAATAACAATATTAGCAAAGCTAACACATCTATAGCGCTCACTGTATGCCATCCACTGTTCTAACAGCTTTATATAGAACTGTACCTCTAATAAAGAATGCATGTGTCTTTTGCAGTTGTGAAGATGACCTCTCCGACGACAGAGAAGAGCTTCTGCATGGGATTTCAGAGCTGGACATCAGCAACTCGGATTGTTTCCCATCCCAGCTGCTAGTGCATGGGGCTTTAGCCTTTCCTCTAGGGTTAGATTCCTACCATGGCTGTGTTATAGCGGCTGCCCGCTATGGCCGGGGCCGGGTGGTTGTGACTGGCCATAAGGTATTATTCACTGTTGGTAAACTGGGCCCCTTTCTGCTCAATGCTGTCCGCTGGCTGGATGGGGGCCGCAGAGGCAAGATTGTGGTGCAGACAGAGCTGAGAACCCTGAGTGGCCTCCTCGCAGTGGGGGGCATAGACACCAGCATCGAGCCCAATCTGACCAGTGATGCAAGTGTCTACTGCTTTGAACCCGTGAGTGAAGTGGGGGTCAAGGAACTGCAGGAGTTTGTAGCAGAGGGTGGCGGGCTATTTGTTGGAGCCCAAGCCTGGTGGTGGGCCTTCAAGAACCCCGGAGTGTCCCCTTTGGCTCGATTCCCAGGAAACCTCCTCCTCAACCCCTTTGGCATCAGCATTACAAGCCAAAGCCTCAATCCAGGGCCCTTTCGTACTCCTAAAGCAGGGATAAGGACCTATCACTTCCGCTCCACCTTGGCCGAGTTCCAGGTTATAATGGGCAGGAAGAGAGGAAATGTGGAAAAGGGCTGGTTGGCAAAGCTGGGACCAGATGGTGCAGCTTTCCTGCAGATTCCCGCAGAAGAGATCCCTGCCTACATGTCTGTGCATCGACTCCTGAGGAAGCTGCTAAGTCGATATCGGCTTCCAGTAGCAACCCGAGAGAACCCTGTTATCAATGACTGCTGCAGAGGTGCTATGCTTTCCCTGGCCACAGGGCTGGCCCACTCTGGAAGCGACCTCTCTCTGTTAGTCCCAGAAATTGAAGATATGTACAGCAGCCCCTATCTGCGCCCCTCAGAATCTCCTATCACCGTCGAGGTCAACTGCACCAATCCAGGTAAGGAACAAGGGTTGGAAGCTCAGTATTATGGGAATGGGGGAATGGGGACAGGCTGACATCAGCAGTCCATTTCAGGGACCCGATCATGTCCAGAAGGTGGTCTCCATTTTTTACCATGAACTTTGAAGAAGATAAGGGTTGGGATTTTAAGTACTGTTTGGAAGAGTTGAGTCAAGGCAGCATGTAGGGGAAGATACGTGCTTACGAAGGGTCTCTGGTGATGCTGGGTGGAGGTGGCATCATGGAGGAGGGATAAAGTCTGCCTACCCCTCCTGCTTTTGGCAGGCACCAGATATTGCTGGATGAGTACTGGGCTCTACATACCTGGAAGGCAAATTATAGAAGTCTCACTGCCTGAAGCTGCTGCCTCTGCCGACCTGAAGGTAAGGCCATGCCCCACCTCACCATGTAACATGGAAGCCAAAGGCTCTTCCTAGCACAGTCAGTATCTTATTTGATTCTCACAAAGCCCTGTTGGTAATACAGAGCAGGTGATTTTACCCTTGTTTTAAGGATGAAGTAACTAAGGTGCAGAAAAGCTGATTGATTGATTGATCGATTGAAATGTATAGAGCTAATACAAATAAGTGCCCAGGACTCAAACCTAACTAATTTCTGGCTCTTAAGTTTTGTGCTTTTGACCTACATCCTAGAGTAGGGAATAAGAGGTATCAAATGGAAGGTAACCTAGCACAGAGTAGGCATTCAGTAAATCTGAGTTCACTGTTCATCTCCGTATCCATTCCCATGGTAGCACAAGGTCTTTCTGACTTCAGCTTCTTCCCCATGACATCCAAGACCATTCCTCAATTGCCCAGTTCACCTTCCCTCTGTCACTTTCACATAGAACCCATTTGCAAAGTTAGTTTGCTGTCCTTCCCTATCCCCCTTGGGGGTCACTGTGATGGTTAGCATCTATTCTGTGCCTGTACCTATCCTGGAACTTGATTAGCATAAACCCAGGGAAAAGAATCCTAGGACTCTACCAAGTACCTGCCCAGGAAGAGGGCTTGGAGAAACCCTCCACTATCTTAGCCAGATCACACCACCTCCCACTGGGCCCTCTCTCTGATCAGCAAAAGGCAGGGTTCCCTCTGCCCCATTCCAAATGCCAGAATCACCACCATGAGATAGGCGATCAAGTGTTCTATTTGTTAGCAACACCAGGAGACCGGGTGTGGGAGTCAGCCCTCCTCAGAATTGGCCTTACAGGTTACACCTGGCACTTCTCACATTAATGTCTATCTAACATGACCCATTATGGAGCTGTTTGAATGCTTTGGGAAAATATTTATATATACTTCAGTCCATATGCCCCAAGGAATGCTACAGTTTCTTGGGGTATCACACATGGTTCATCTGTGGTGGGAAGGCTGGGCTCGCTTGGGTTCATGGCTGAATGACCCATCCTGAGTCCCTTGCTGGGCTCTCTTCTTCCACCCACTCGTGCCCCATGGTGACTCCTTGAGGGGGGGATCTTTCTGCTCCAGATACAGATTGGCTGCCACACAGATGACCTGACCAGGGCCAGCAAGCTTTTCCGAGGCCCACTCGTAATTAACCGGTGCTGCTTGGACAAACCCACAAAATCGATCACGTGCCTCTGGGGTGGACTCCTCTATATAATTGTGCCTCAGAACAGCAAACTGGGTTCTGTGCCTGTCACCGTGAAGGGGGCTGTGCATGCTCCATACTACAAGCTGGGTGAGTGGGAGCTCTGGGTGCCCCTGAGGGAAGGGGAAGAACTGAGATGAGGATTCCAGAGAGCATGGGAGTCCAGGAGGTGACTAGAGTCTGTTTGGTGCAGAAGGAGAGAGACACGGGCTAACAGAGGAATAAGGGTCAGCTTCCTTAGATTCAGCTTTGGGGTTGTACAGATAAAGACCAAACCACATCCTTGGAGACTTCATAGAAGGATAGAGAAAAGGGATATAGCCTCAGCAAACTAACACAGGAACAGAAAACCAAACACCACGTGTTCTCACTTGTAAGTGGGAGCTGAACAATAAGAACACATGGACACAGGGAGGGGAACAACACACATTGGGGCCTGTCAGTGGGGTGGGTAGCGGGGGTGGATGGAGGGAGACCATCAGGATAAATAGCTAATGCATGCTGGGCTTAATACCTAGGTGATGGGTTGATGGGTGCAGCAAACCACCATCACACATGTTTACCTATGGAACAAACCTGCACGTCCTGCACATGTATCCCGGAACTTTACATTTTTTAAAAAAGAGGAGGGATATGGCAGTTCATGATTTTGTTGTTCTCTTCCTGGAGTCTAAGTTGTATGTTGTAATTTAAGGGATTTGGGAAAGGATTTCAAGCTCCATGGTCTCTCTTCCTAGGGGAGACCACCCTGGAGGAGTGGAAGAGGCGTATCCAGGAGAATCCAGGGCCCTGGGGAGAGCTGGCCACGGACAACATCATTCTGACCGTGCCGACCGCAAATCTTCGTACTCTGGAGAACCCTGAGCCGCTGCTCCGCCTCTGGGATGAGGTGATGCAGGCTGTGGCGCGACTGGGAGCTGAGCCCTTCCCTTTGCGCCTGCCTCAGAGGATTGTTGCCGACGTGCAGATCTCAGTGGGTGGGTGCTCCAAGCAAACCCTCTGTGCATGCTGCCTCTGAGCGCCTTCCTGTCTTTCATCAGCCATGCAGTGGGCAGCCAGTAGGGGAAACATATTTTGCTAGCAAGACATATAGATGTATCCTTGTTATTTAAATGGGAAGGAAATATATATAATATATAATATATATTATATATTATATATATAATATATATTATATATATTATATAATATATAATATATATTATATATTTGTATATATGTATATGTGTGTATATATATATATGTATATAAAACAGTTTAGGTCAGCATGTCAAGGACATCAAGAAATGCCACCTGAGCTTTCACAGGTATTCATCAGGGACTTCAAGCCGGTAAAAATGGCAGAGGGCCGTGACCTAGGTCAGAGTTGTTGGGTTGGAAAAGGGAATTTTACAACTTTAAGAACACACTGAATAAAGCGATCTTTGCCTATGGTCAAGGAACATGAAAAGTGAGGGAAATATACAGACATTAAAGAACCATGGGAATTTCTCTGGACCCTCATTTTCTTTCTTATACGGATGTTCACTGTAAACTTGTGTTGATATGGCAACTCCATATCTGAACAATGAGAGAGGAGCTACCCTTAAAGAGCTCTGAATTTTGAGAAAAGGTTATAGTGACACAGATTCACATGGATAAGGCATCCTCATCAAAATAGAAAAATTGAATGGTAACATGAACAGCTCCTTATATATAAGCTGCATCTCCTTCCATAGCCACACTATTCTGGGTCAGAGTAGAGATGAAGGAATTCTTCCAGAATGAAAAGAGGAGAAGGAACACCTAGCAGGGTCTTGGTTTGGGTTGCTTTTCTGAGTATTATGGTGTGCTGGAATTTGGCTGGGGTTACTGAGTGTTTTGGAACACACACAAAACATAGAAGAATATTACGACTTAAATGGGGAGGACCCTAACTCTCTCTTCCCTCCTTCTGCATTTTCCAGGCTGGATGCATGCAGGGTACCCCATCATGTGCCATCTGGAGTCAGTGCAGGAGCTCATCAACGAGAAGCTCATCAGAACCAAGGGGCTGTGGGGCCCCGTCCATGAGCTGGGCCGCAACCAGCAGCGGCAGGAGTGGGAGTTCCCACCACACACCACCGAGGCCACCTGCAACCTGTGGTGTGTGTATGTGCATGAGACGGTCTTGGGCATTCCTCGAAGCCGTGCCAATATTGCTCTGTGGCCCCCAGTTCGGGAGAAGAGAGTCAGAATCTACCTGAGCAAGGGTCCCAATGTGAAAAACTGGAATGCATGGACCGCACTGGAAACGTATTTACAGGTACTGGGCAAGAATGGCGGGTGATGGGGGACCCCTACTGCGGGGACCATCAGGGCAACTATCGGATAATGTTCTAGTGGCCCAGAAGACCACCCATGGCCCCTGTCTCCCACACTGGGATATGGGAGGCCCTGACAAAGTCCAACTGTGACAGTCGTATTGATGATGTCTCTTAGTGCATCGCCTTGCATGACCCTCAAGTGGATTTCATTGCCTGAGCCTCACCTTCCACCCCATAGAGATATATGATAGTAAATAGAAAGCACTGAGAAAGGTTAAAAATGGTAGAGACAAATAAAGTACTATACATATATTCACTCTCTCTGGCTTTAAAGCCAGACATACCTGAGACTGAAGCCAAACTCTCCTACTTAATAGCTATCTAAAACCAGTTCCCCCCAACCATACACATAATCCATAGGATATGACTTATTTTTTTTTTCCTTAGATGAATGTACCATCTTCTCACTATGCCTTGGCCGTGCCTCAGAGCCCCCATTATGTAGGCAATCCAAGAGTCCTCACTGACCTGGACAAGGAGGTGGCCTTGCCTTTGACCAGTTGTTTAATGCCTAGTTCCCTCCCTGCAATGCCTGGATCAGTTCCTGGCATGAGACTGGAGAGTTTCATCACCTTGAATTTCAGAACTCAGTCTCAGGCCAAGCATGCTCTATTCTGGTTCTTCCACCTGCTGGAGGCTCTCTTATTCATTCCCACTGCCGTGAGAATTATGGGAAAACCAAGGAGGCTCCACTTTAACCTTGTTATGGCTGCTTTGCCCCAGGAACACCAAGTTTCTCATTGGTGAAATAAATGTGAAGTTGGTCTGGGGAACTGCTCAAGTGCCTCATAATTCAAGCTCTGTAACTCAACAGCCTCAAGATGGCTGCCTTTTTCAAAAATTACAACTTATTCTTAATTCTAGTTACCCAGACAATCTGCAGTCTTCTACTTCTATCCAACTCACTTTTTTTCCCCAAAAGCCATTTTAATACCCTTGCACATTGACAAAGATCTATGATTAATGAGGATTTCTTTGTGCCAGGATGAGGTGGAAGTTTCCCTATTGTTGAGGTTTCACTTTTCAACTCTTGAGAAGAGGATTTTTCCAATTCTGCCAATTTTAAATCCTTGTGTAATATCCTATCTCTATTTGCGTGATCTAGTGGGATACGTGGGTAATGATACTGGTAGAAAATATTGATATTAATCATTGCAGTTGTTACCATGGCCCTCACTGATTTAGTATCCACTTGGTGTTGAACACCGTGCTGGTCCCAAGGCCCTTCCTAAGATTAGAATGTGGAAGAGCAGGGCATGAGGCCAGGAGGCAAAATGGAGGAGAGCAGGTCGGTGATAGACGTGAAGCTGATGGGTAAGGGGTTACATATACTAAGTTCACTTATTATAGTGGTTGTTGTTGGACCCTTTTTTATTTCCAAATCTGATCTGTATTTTTCTTTCTTTTCCCAGCTCCAGGAAGCCTTTGGTTGGGAGCCATTCATCCGTCTCTTCACCGAGTACAGGAACCAGACCAACTTGCCCACAGAAAATGTTGACAAAATGAATCTGTGGGTCAAGATGTTCTCCCACCAAGTGCAGAAGAACCTGGCTCCGTTCTTTGAGGCCTGGGCCTGGCCCATCCAGAAGGAAGTGGCTACCAGCCTGGCCTATCTGCCTGAATGGAAGGAAAATATTATGAAATTGTACCTCCTCACACAGATGTAAGGAGTGCCCATCGAGGTGGCAGGTAGAGAGGTTTGGGGAGGTAGGCAGAGGTGGGGATTCACTCCTCTACCTCTGCCTCCCAGGGTCTGGCCTTGTCCTCTTAGTTCATTGCCCTATACCTTATTACCGACCTCTGTCTCTAGGAAGTGGGTTCAGAACACAGCCAAAAGTGGAATCAGAATTTCTCAGGTGCAAGGGCTTCTGTTTCTGCATCTTGTTCGTCTGCTTTCAGCTGTCACATTCCCTCCTGACCCTGCACTGGCCCAGTTCCAAGAGCTTTGGCACCTGCTTCTATATCAGCCCTGGATTCACCATCATAGGTCATAGCCCAGAGGGGGTAGTTCTCATGTTGGCATCCTGAAGACTCCCTTTGGGCTTTTGTTTTTGAACAGTTGTTCCAAAAACTTGACCATAAAACTCAACTGGAACACAAATTTACCGTGAGACCCAGATAGCTCTTGGATGGACTCATATATTTTGTGACTTGAGTAGTTTTCAAAGTAGACAAGCATTCTGGTATAGTGGGAAGAGCCCAGAACTAGGTAGGGTTAGCTCTCGGGAAAGTCATTTCAACTTGGTACTCTCATTTCCTGTGTGTAAAATGGGGATAAAAATTCCCAGTTCACAGGGTTGTCGTGGAGGTTCAGAGTGATAAATTCTGAAGAGGCTTGTGAGGTCTGCAGAGCATGTCATCTAAGGGGATTTTCTATTTTATGCTGGTCCACAGGATAATGAGCTTACTACTTTCCATCCTGTCTCCAGAATTTAGAGGTTAGGATAACTCTCTCTACAAGTAGCTTCCCTGTGTTCAAATCCTGGTTCTTTCACCTACGAGTTGTATAACCCTGGCAATTTCCTTAACTTCTCTGTGATTTAGTTTTCTCATCTATAAAATAGGATCTATCTCATAGGATCATTGTGAGGATTACATTTTATAATACCTTTAAAAAGCAATGAGAACCGTCCCTGGCAGGTAGTAGGTGTTGAGAAAATGTCTGCTGCCATTATTATTATCTAATTGACTCAATACTCTTTATGAGCTAGACTTTATTTTTAGATGACATTTACAGAGGCAGTTGTAGTTAATCCTAGCCCATCTTGCACTTTATACAGCAACTTCTGAAAGGATTCTGCTATGTTGCCTTATGAATCTAAAGGAAGAACTCTAAATTCACAATGGGTTTTTTTAAATAGCTAAAAAATTTTGTTTCTTTTTAACTTAGATTTGTAAAGCTATTTATAAGAACCTCATTGTGAATTTGGAGCTCTTCCTTGGATCTCCTTATCCAATTGTATTTTACAGATCCAATTCCTTCTTTGATTAAATCAAGAGTAGATGTCTTGAAGAAACCAGATCAATTCCATAATGACATTTGTCCTTAGCAAACAGAGGGTATCTGGTTTCATGACAGTGTTTTTATTTCTGTAACACAGATTCAAGACATAGTGCCTGTCAAGAGTTACTCAACAGTTTGGCAGACGAAGTCCACACACATAGAGGACTTTACTCTGAAACAAGATGGTTGGATAGAGTTGACCCAAACTTATTTCTTTTTAATTTTATTCAGAATCCCCTATTTCTTTACAGTTTTAACTAAAGTTGGGTCCTTTTGGTTGATGTCATATACATCCAGCCAGTTTTTCTTTAGCTCACTTTTTATTTTAGTTATTTTAATATATCATTTTATTTGCTTAATTGGTAATTGGGTAGATATGTAGACTGTAAGATTTGACCTATAGAGTTTTTTCTTTGGATTTTTGTTTGTTTGTTTGAGATAGCGTATCAGTCTTGTCACCCAGGCTGGAGTGCAATGGCACCGTCTCGGCTCATTGCACCCTCTACCTCCCAGGTTCAAGCGATTCTCCTGCCTCAGCATCACAAGTAGCTGGGCTTACAGGTGCCCACCACCACACCCAGCTAATTTTTTGTATTTTTAGTAGAGATGGGGTTTTGCCATGTTGGCCAGGCTGGTCTCGAACTCCTGGCCTAGGTGATCCACCCACCTCGGCCTCCCAGTAGATTTCTTTGTCATGTTATTTGTCGGTCCTAGGATTATTTCTCCTGATTGCACAAATATCCATTGCCTAGGTGCTTTAAACATGAGACATTGGATATTTGTTCAACATTTAAAATAATTGTTATCAATTATTGGGTGTGTACCAGTTATTGTAGTGATTCCTTTCTATAGATTGTTTCATTTAATCTTCACAATAATCTCATGACATGGCAACCATTATCACTCCCATTTTATTTTATGAACGAGAGAACTGAAGTTAAGGAAGATAAGGTAAATTATCTAAGGCTATATTGCTAATAAGTGGTTGATCTGGGATTTGAATTCAGGCATTCTGATTACAGAATGGGCATTCATAACTACAGTGCTTTGAATGACCCCATCAATGGGTAAATAAAGAAGCCGACCAGCAAACCAAAGGATCATTATGTTCCTACTTGCCAGAGCTTTGGCTGCATATACTTACCTATCATCTACTTTTATCAGAACAAAAAATCATTTTGTTTATCCCAAATGACAATTCAAAGAATTTAAGGTAGGCTCCTGAAGTGCTTCCCAATAGATAGTGCTGGAGTGAGCCCTTTAGCATCAGCCAGATCTTTTAGGTTCTGCATTACTCAAGTTTCAGTTATTCTTTCTAGGGTACCATGAAAGTGTTCTCTAGTTTGTTGGATTTTGAATGATGGACTATTTCAGTGAAGTGCCTGACTCCCAGAGATCCCAAACACTGCATGTTCTCAGAGAGGAAATTAGATCCTCCATCTTTGAGAATATGTGTATCCATCCTTGCCCTCTTTAATATATTTTTAGCAGTACATCCCGGGGATATATTTAAAATATAAAGTTATCCATGTTACTTCCGTGTCTAAAAGCCTCCACTGGAATTTCTAATTTGAGATAATGGAGTAAACATAAGTTTACCTTCCCTCCCTCCCCAGGCCCCACTGAAATTGAAGTCAAGAAATGCAAAAAGGAACTGACACATCTCAGCAAAGAAAACTGAAGGGATTTGGTTATAAGTGGAGAGGATCTCAGCATATTTCTGGAAGATAGAAAGTGGATGAAGCATGATAATGAAAGAGTGAAGAACCTTTCAGATAAAATGTAAGCTGATCTGAACAACATAACCCCAAAGAGACTTGCGCACCTGAAAAGCTTGTCTACTGAAGAATTACTCCAGTTGTAAGATTGAGCCCTCTCCTACTCTCCCCCAACTCTTATGCACAGAACACAGGCAGTCTCCACTATTGATACCAGTTAAAAATTTCTTGTTATTGTTGCTGTTGTTGTTTGTATAAAGGAATTGAACAGGCTGCTTGCAGAGAGATAAGAGTTGGTGCTCCAGAAAAAAATTTCTCTTCTAGTGGAAATAAGTGCCCCTACCCCCAGCCGGTCAGCTAATTCTCTACTGACAGCTGAGACCTCCTACTCAAGTGCCTGTTGCCTTCAGGTATAGAAGAGGTTTCCTGAAGAAACAGACCTAACTGTACAACAGCAGAGGAAACCCATGCCAACTGTTATACAAGTTAACAGTTATGTTGATTCTTAAATGGGAATGGTGAGTTAGAAATTCCCAG
This sequence comes from Homo sapiens, assembly GCF_000001405.40. Classification (NCBI taxonomy): domain Eukaryota; kingdom Metazoa; phylum Chordata; class Mammalia; order Primates; family Hominidae; genus Homo; species Homo sapiens. The sequence goes on along the minus strand of NW_018654714.1, from coordinate 397,805 downwards.
ACATGGGCGATGGGGAGGGAAGAGGAATAAGAAAAGTCACGAGGTAGAATTAGGGGCCTTGAAAATATGACAAACTCTGAGGGAAACAAAGACAATGTGGAAAGAATAACTTAATTTTAATTCCATCTCCAGAGAGATTTGAGGTGTATTTAAGATGAAAAACAGGATACTACAAAGAAACGGAAAACTCAGGAGTTCAAGACCAGCCTAGGCAAGATGGCAACATCCCGTCTCTACAAAATAATTTTTAAAAATTAGCCAAGCATGGTGGCATGTGCCTGTGGTCCTAGCTACTTGGGAGGCTGAAGTGGGAAGATCACTTGAGCCCAGGAGTTCAAGGCTTCAGTGAGCCATGATGGTGCCACTGCACTCCAGCCTGGGGGACAGAGTGAGACCCTGTCTCTTAAAAAGCAAGAAAAGAAAGAGAAGACTGAGAATAAGAAGATCTCTTTGAAAATAAAATAAGACTGCTAAAAGTATTTGGTATACAGTCTGGAAAATAAAGTTGAGGGAATCTCTCCAGATAAAGAGCAAAAAGAAATAGATAGAAAAATATAAAGAAAGAAAAAAGACATAGACAATCAATATGTAATGTTAGGAGTTCCTGGAAGAGAGAACAGAGACAGTGTAGGTGAAGAAATAAAAAGAAAAAGAATTGAAGAACAGAGCAAGCTAAGTCTCCAGATTGAGAGGGCCCAATACAATCTACATCTAGACACAATATTGTAAAATTTTGGAATATTAAGGATAGAAGGAAGATATTAAAGTGGCCAGGGAGAAAACAAATGAGGTCATCACGATTAGCTCAACACAAAAATGGATGAGAAATAGACTGCTAACAGATTTGTCATCAGCAACACTGAATGCCAGAAGTCAATGGATCAACATCTTCAGAGCTTAAGGAAAATTTTTGTACCTAGAATTTCATAGTAAGGCAGACTGTCAAGAAGAACATCAAAGTGAAGACATTTTCTGTCAGGCAAATTTTCAGAAAGTCTCCTTTGCACCCTTACTGAGGAAGTATCTTGAGGAAATTCTCCAGCAAAATGAGGATGAAAACCAGGAAAGAAGAAGAAATGGGATCCATAAAACAGTGGACCTTACTTAGGATGTCTCATTCTAGAGTGACAGCCAAAAGGGTATCTCACCCTAGAGTGACAGCTATCCAGCAGACTAATTTCAGATGAGAGCATACTGTCTCGGGCTTTCTGGGAAGAATGTGCATTCAGTGCCATAGATAGTATCATTGAAGAGCTGGGATGCTTGAGAAGATTATTTAGTCAAGAAAAAAGAAAGACAAATCAACAATATGTCAAAAAATTCAGGTCCAATTATAGAGCAAAATAAAATGAGGCATGATTTTGAGTTATTCATGAAGAATAAGAAGAGGCTTGATAGGTACATTTCCTTTTCTATGGCACAGGCATGATGATATTGGGTGTGTAGGGAAGAAAATATCCTAGCTTATACTAGGCTCCCAGTAAGAAGTATTTAAATAGCCAAAATAATGTGGATATCATTTATTAGTATTCAATGTTCAGATCAGCCTATTAACAAAGTGTGAAAGGTTTCATTTTTTATTCAGAACTGAAGTTGAAAGTAATTAATGCTGACAAAGGGAAAGAAAGCAGAAAGAGATTGAGAATTAGAGGAAGAGAAGTGGAATCAAAGGTAGAGATACTTATATATTCAAAGTGGGGATGAAAAGATCTTCAGTTAATGGAACAAGAACTAGAGGATTAGTGTATTGTTCAAAGCTATAAAATCAAACCAATAGATGTATTAAAAAGTGATGTAACTATCAGACATTTGGAGAGAGATGGACAAAGGAAAGTGGCGATAGTGTAAGTTAAATCCTTATCTTTTGTAATGGGGAATTATTAAAGATGTTGTAAAGTCAGTAAGTCAAGAAATTATTGCTCAAACATATTATTTAAAGTTAGAAAGTTACCAGACGATCTAAAATAAATATTGTTAAAAGCATTACCTCTAGGGAATGGGATTTAGATTTAAAAAGGGTGGGATGGGAAACTGTGTTTTTCATTTTAAGTCCTTCTGTACTATTTAATTTTTTACCTTGTGCATGTATTACTTTGAAAAAATTTTTAATAAACCCAAATAAAAATCTTCCAGTGACTTCACATTGATTAAGATGCAACCCAGCTAAAGCCTTTAAAATGGTTTTCAAGGTCCTCAAGTATCTAGGTCCACTTGATGTGTCCAGGCTCATGATATCTCCCCACAAGTCTCTATTTCCAACCAGATTAAGTATCTTCCAGTTATTAAAACACACTTCACATTCTTTTGTTTGTATAGGTGTTCCACAAAAAACAAAGCCTACTGCTGATCTCACCATGTCTGCTGAGTAAGCTTACCATCTAGTGGGTTTTAATATTTGTTGAATGAAGGAATGTCCAATACAGCATTGAATGAAGTTTGCCAACTTCATTCTTTTCCAAGAAGGCCTTTGATGTTTGCCCCTGTTCTGGGAAACATTTCAAGAAGGACCATCCAGGGCCCTAAGCTTTCCTGCACTCCCCTTCATTTGACAGCTTTAATAAGTTTTAGTCTTATATGAGGCCAGCTAGTGTCAGAGCATTTCTGTCCATCTGTCAGTCTCCCTGGTGTACTCTTTGCTACTTTCCCTGAACATCGTAACCTCTTTTCAGCTATTTTTAACCCTGTACTTGGGAGAAACAGCCAACTATCTAGTGGAAATCTTTAGGCCACCAAGTTTCTTTTTTTTAAGTTTTATTTTACTTTTAATTGACTCATAATAATTGTACATATTTATAGGGTATAGTGTGATGTTTTGATACACGTATATATTTTGTGATGATCAAATCAGGGTATTTAGCATATTTTTCACCTCAAACATTTATCATCCCTTTGTGGTAAGAACATTCAAAATCCTCTCTTCTAGCTATTTTGAAATATACAATATAATATTGTTAACTATAGTCACCCTACTGTGCAATAGAACACCAGAACTTATTCCTATCTAACTGAACCTTTGTACCTGTTGACCAGTCTATCCCCATCTCCCCTGCCCCACTACCCTCCCAAGCCTCTGGCAACCACTATTCTACGCTCTGCTGCTATTAAATCAACTTTTTAAATTATAGAATCCACTTTTGTGTGAGATTGTACAGTATTCGTCTTTACATGCCTGGCTTATTTTACTTAACATAATGTCCTCTGGGCCCAATTACGTTGCCACAAATGACAAAATTTCTTTTTATGGTTGAATAGTCTTCCATTGTATATATACACCACATTTTCTTTATCCATTCATCCACTGATGGACACTTAGGTTGATTCCATGCAACTACTGTGAATAATGCTGCAATAAACATGGGAATGCAGATATCTCTTCCACATAACTGATTTTATTTCCTTTGGATATATACTCAGTAGTGGGATTCTGGATCATATGGTACTTCTATTTTTTAACTTTTTTAGGAACCTTCATTCTGTTTTCCATCATTGCTGGACTAATTTACAACAGCATATGAGACTTCCTCTTTCTTCACATCTACCCCAACATTTGTTATTTTTTGTCTTTTTGATAATAGCCATTCTAACTGGACTGAGGTGATATGTCATTATGGTTTTATTTGCATTTCCCTGATGATTAGTGATGCTAAGCATTAGTATGTCTTCTTTAGAGAAATGTCTATTTAGGCATTTTGCCCATCTTTAAATGGAATTATTTATTTTTCTGCTATTGAGTTATTTTTCTATATATTCTAGGCATTAACCCCTTGTCAGATGCATAGTTTGCATATGTTTTCTCCCATTCCTTAAGTTAACTTCAATCTGTTTCCTTTGCTGTACAGAAGCATTTTAGTTTAATATAGTACCATTTCTCTATATTTGCTTTTGTTGTATGCTTTTGAGGTCTTATTCAAAAAATTCTTGCCGAGACCAATGTCATGAATTGTTTCTCCCATGTTTTCTTCTAGGATGCTTACAGTTTCAGGTCTTACATTAAAGTTTTTAATCAATTTTGAACTAATTTTTACATATGGTAAGAGACAGGGGTCTAATTTTATTCTTCTACATGTGGATATTCAGTTTTCCCAGTGCCATCTATTGAAAAGCCTCTCCTTTTCCTAATGCATGTTGCTGACACTTTTGTTGAAAATCAGTTGGCTGTAAGTGCATGGATTTATTTCTGTTCTGTATTCTGTTTCAGTTATCTATGTGTCTATTTTTATACCAGTACCATGTTGATTTGGTTACTATAGCTTTATAGTATATTTTAAAGTCAGGTAGTGTGATGCCTCGAGCTTTATTTTTGCTAAGGATTACTTTGGCTATTTGGGGTCTTTTGTGGTTCCATAGAAGTTTTAGGATTTTTTTTTCTATTTCTGTGAAGAATAGGGATTGCATTGAATTAGTAAATTGCTTTGGATAATATGGACATTTTGACAATATTAATTTTTGCAATTCATTATTATCTTTCTATTTATTTGTGTCCTCTTCAATTTATTTTATCCATATTCTATAGTTTCCACTCAAGATGTTTCACCTCCTTTGTTAACTATATTCCTGGGTATTTATTTTATAGCTATTGTCAGTGGATTGCTTTCTTGATATCTTTTTTTAGGTAGCTTGCTACTGGCATATAGAAACACTACTGATTTTTGCATGTTGAGTTTGTATCCTGCAACTTTATTGAATTTATTTATTCTAACAGTTTTTTGTGGAATCTTTAGGATTTTCTATATATAAGATAATGTCATCTGCAAACAAGGACAATTTGACTTCCCCCTTTCCTATTTGGATGCCTTTCATTTCTCTTGCCTAATTGCTCTGGCTTGGATTTCCAGTAGTATGTTCAACAAAAGTGATAAATGCGGCATCCTTGTCTTATTGCAGATCATAGAGGAATAGCTTTCAACTTCTTCAGTATGATGTTATCTATGAGCTTCTCATTTATGGCCTTTATTGTGTTGAGGTATATTACTTCTACATCTCATTTGCTGAGAATTTTTATCATGAAGGGATGTTAAATTTTATCAAATTTTTTTCTTTGTCTATTAAAATGATTATGTCATTTTTGTCCTTCATTCTGTTAATGTGATGTATCACATTTGTGATTTACATATGTTAAACCATCCTTGCATCCCTGGGATGAATCTCACTTGATTGTGGTGAATTATTTTTTCAATATGCTGTTGAATTTGTTTCACTTATATTTTGTTAAAGATTTTTGCATCTATGTTGATAAAGGAGATTGGCCTGTAGTTTTCTTTTTATCAAGTTATCCTTGTCTGGTTTTGATAATGTTGGCCTCATAGAATGAGTGTGGAAGAATTTGCACCTCTTCAACTTTTTAGAATAGTTTGAAAAGAAGTGATATTATTATTTACATGTTTGGTAGAACTTAGCAGTAAAGTCATCAGTTCCTGGGCTTTTCTTTGACGGGAGACTTATTATTACTGATTCATTCTTGTTACACATTATTGGCCTGTGTAGGTATTTTATTTCTTCATAGTAGTTCAACTTTGGTAGGTTGCATGTGTCCAGGAATTTATTTATTTCTTTTAGGTTTTCCAGTTTATTGGCATATAATTGCTCATAAAAGTCTTCTATGATCCTTTGTATTTCTGTGACATCTCCTTTTTTAGCTCTGATTATATTTATTTGAGTCTTCTCTTTTTTGTTAGTCTAGCTAAAACATTTGTTTATCTTTCAAAGGACCAACTTTTTGTTCTACTGATTTTTATATTATTTTCAGGCTCTATTTCACTTATTTCTGCTTGATCTTTATCAGTCTTCTCTTCTAGTAGTTTAGGGTTCAGCTGGCCCTCGTTTTTCTCATTCCTTGAGGTGCCACATAAAGTTTTTATAAAAGATTCTTATACTTTTTTGATGTAGGCATCTATTGCTATAAACTCCCTCTTAGAATAGCTTTTGCTGTATCCCATAGGTCTTGGTACATTATGTTTCCTTTTATTTGTCTCAAGGAATTTTTAAATTTTCTTTTTAATTTCTTTATTGATGCCCTGGTTTTGTAAAAACTTGTTTTTAGTTTTCACATATTCGTATATGTTCCATAGTTCCTCTTGGTATTCATTTCTAGTTTTTATTGCATTGTGGTAAGAGAAGATACTTGATAAGATTTTGATTTTTTTGATTGCTTGAGATATGTTTTGTGGACTAACATATATTCTATCGTGGAGAAAAGTTCCATGTGCTGTTGAGCAAAATGTACATTCAGTAGTTATTGAGGGGAATGTTTTATAAATATCTGCTGGGGCTATTTGGTCTAGAATGTAATTTAAATCTGATAATTCTTTGTTGATTTTCTATCTAGATGATCCATCCATTGCTGAAAGAGGGTGCTAAAGTCCTTTTTTATTTTATTTTAATTTTTCTCTCCCTTTAGATCTCATAATATTTGCTTTATATATTTACTTTATATATTGGGTGTTCTGGTGTTGTGTGCTCATATACTGACAACTGTCCTAACCTTCTGCTGAACTGATTTCCTTATCTTTCTTTATATAATGACCTTCTTTTCTCTTTTGACAGTTTTTTACTTAAAGCCTATTTTGTCTGATGTAAGTATTACTACCCCTGCTTTGTTTTGGTTTCCATTTTCACAGAATTTCATTTTCTCTTCTTTCACTTCAGTCTATGTGTGGCCTTATAGGTGAAGTGCCTATCTGGTAGGCAGCATGTTGCTGAATCTTGTTTTTTTTTTTTTTTAATTTAATCCATTCAGCCACGGCGTATGTTTTAATTGGGAATTTATTTCATTTACATTCAAAGTTATTATTGATAGGTAAGGACTTCTGCCATTTTGTTCATTATTTTCTGGTTGTTTTGTTTATCCTTTGTTCCTTTCTTCCTCTCTCATGTTTATCTCTGTGGCTTGATTAGGGTATTTGTTGTGTTAAGCTTTGATTCCTTTCTCTTTCTCATTTGTATATCTGTTGTAATTTTTTCTTTGTGATTAGTATTGGGGTTACATTAAAAATCTCTCATACTTATAATAGACTATTTTAAGCTGATAACAAGTTAACTTTCATTGCATACCAATACTCTAGACTTTCATTCTGCACCCAAATTTATAATTTTGTTGCTTTAATATACATCTTTATATATTGTTTATTCCTTAACAACTTATCATTGCTATAATCATTATTACAATTTTCACTTTTTGGCATCCCACAGAGCTGCATTTTTTTAATTATTATTATTTTTTAAATGGGGTCTCATTATGTTGCCCAGGTTGGACTCAAACCCCTGGGCTCAAATGAGCCTTCCATTTCAGCCTCCTAAATAACTGGGACTACAAGCACATGCCACAGCACCCAGCTGTTTTGGCCTTTAACCTTCATACTAGAGGTTTGAAACATTACATATCACCATTGCAGTAATGAAGCATTATGAATTTGATAATGCATTTATCTCCAGCAGTGAGATTTATACTTCATGTTTTTTTATGGTAGCAATTATCATGAAAACTTTTTTTTCCAATAGAAATACTCAAGCATTTCTTGTAAGTCTGGTCCAGTGGTAATGAGTTCCCTCAACTTTTGCTGATCTGGGAAAGACTATTTCTCCTTCATTTCTGAAGCAAAGATTTGCTGGTATAGTATTCTAGGCTAGCAGCTTTTTTTCTTCTAGTATTTTAAATATATCATCCCATTCTCTCCTGGCCTGCAAGGTTGCTGCTGGGAAATCTGCTAATAGTCCAATGGCAATTCCCTTATATGTGACTTGATGTTTTTCTCATGCTGCTTTTAGTATTTTTTTCTTTGTCTTTGACTTTTGACAGTTTGGTTATATGCCTCAGAGAGGACCTCTTTGAGTTGAATCTTTGTGGGATCCTTTGAACTTCATGGATCTGGATGTCCATATCTCCCCAAGACTTGGGAAGTTTTCAACTATTACTTTGTTAAATAAGCTTTCTTTGCCTTTCTTCATCTCTTCTTCTTAAGTTGCCAAAATGCAAACATTTGTTCACTTATGGTGTCCCATAAATGCCATAGGCTTCTTCATTCCTTTTTTTTTTCTTTACCTCTGACTGGACTATTTCAAAAGGCCTGTTTTCAAGTTCAAAAATTCTTCTGTTTGATCTATTTTGCTGTTGAAGCTCTCAATTGCGTTTTTTTATTTCATTCATTGAATTTCTTGGCCCCAAGATTTCTATTTTGTTCTTTTTTATGATATCTCTCTCTTTGTTGAATTTCTCATTCAGATCATGAACTGTTTTTCCCGATTGTTGAATGATCCGTTTGTGTTCTTTCATGTCTCACCAAGTTTCCTTAGGCTCACTATCTTGAATTCCTTTTCAGGCAATTCATAAATTTTTATTTTTTTATTGGGGTCAGTTACTAGAGAATTATTGTGTTTCTTTGGTGGTGTCATGTTCCCTTGCTTTTTTATGTTTCTTGTATCCCTGCACTGGCATCTGTGCATCTGATGGAATAATCACCTTTTCTAACTTGGTAGCATAACTTTCAGCGGAAAAGACTTACACCTGCAGATGTGTCCTAGCATGTTGGTTGGGTAAGGTACATTTGTTTTTGTTCTGGGTGGATGCAGTAGTGTAGTCTCCATGCAGCTTCTTTAGCTGTAGTTAATGTCAGTGGTGCCTGCAAGTACCTCAGTGGCCTTGGCTGCAGAAGTTTGTGTGGCTGGTATGCCCACTCAGCTGCTTGTCCCCTGAAGGCTGGGCACTTAGCTGGTCTGTTTTCTGAGGATCCATGGCTGGTAGGTTCTCCTTCGGTGCTTATCTCTTGGTGGCTGCATAGTGAGCTGGTCTGTGCTCTAGGGAAGTGCAGGGCTGGTTGTCCAGTAGCTCTGCTCAGTTGCTGCTCCTCTGGAGGCAAGGCACCAGACTGGTTCATACTCACTACCAGGTTACCAGGTTTTTTGTGTCCTACTATCCCTAGTTTCTTGGTAACTGTTCCTTCTCCATCTTCATTAACATTTCTGTCTGAAGGTAAATATTTGTATAATACAAAGACCTTTTCTTACCTGAATTAGCATCTGTCCTATTTTCCATGTATCATAATAGAGATTTACCCTCACAAATGGGAGTAGTTTCCAGATTGCCCATGTTATCACAGAAATAACCCAAATTATTTTATCTTCTGCCACACCACTGAGTCTGAATTTCTGTAAAGAGAAATTGAGATATGTCATGAGTTTACTTTCCTCTGTTGTCTAACTCCCATAGTCAACTGGAGCTCTCTGATGAGTATTGGCCTTGCAGCCAATCTTCAAAGCAGTATTTATCAGAAACACTTCCTATCTCCTCTTCACGGGATTAATCTGATCTATTTAGTGCTTAAAGCAATGTCCTCACCCAAGGTCAAAACCTCACCTAATATATGTACCTAACAGGCCAACAGGTAACTAGGCCTTAGATGTTGACTCTTTTTTGCCAACAAAAGTAGCAGACTCTATCCCTTCTTTCAAGACTATTTCCCTCCTCTGTTCTCTACTCCTTACAAAGCCTTTGTACTCCTGCTTGGCTTCTACTCTTAAAATGATTTCTTTCTTTGACCCACATCATTGCAGTCAGTCTTCAATAGGGAGTGGGCAGAAGGTGATCTTCAACTTCTCAGAGATCTTTCTTCTAACTACACAAAAAAACAACTTACCTCACAATCAAGACAACTAAGAAATGCTTCCTATGCATTTGGATTCTTGTGCATTTCAGTGCTATAAAGAAGCATTTCTTTGATAGGAAAGCTTGAGTAGCTTAAGTTATTGATGTTCTAGTCTGAGACTGGGTGCGTTTCATAGGTGCTCATTATATTAGAAATAAATAGAATAAAGGGATGAGTAAATAAATGAAAGATAAATAGAGGTTGGGAAGCAACTGCAACTTAAAAAAAAAATGTAGTGACCAATGATGACAGTTAGGAACCAAGGTTTATTTTAATACAAATATGTGTACCTGAAGGTCATTAAAAAGTTACTTCTATTCTTAGGAACTCAAATATACATAATTGGTTAAGAAATCTGTACATGTAGGTACTAAAAAAATATTTCCATGAATCGCTTAGTGACATAAAATTCATTTTTCACATACTGCCAAAATTATTTAGAATATTTAAAGTCTGAGATAGTGCCCAAAGGGGGTTAGGGGAGGACAAAATGATCAAACATACAATATAAAAACAATCTATAAAAGAGTCTAGAAGAGATCTCACAGGTTTAGAGAGAAGACCCCTCTTCTTCCTGAACAGACCCCATAGGCCAGGGCCCAGCAGGCTTACCTATTGTCTGTGGTTTCTGTGCTGCAAACAGGAGCCTAAAACCTGCAAATAGGTTATAAACCTTTTCTTGACCCTCCACCAAGGTAGATAGGCAAGTGGAGCTTTAATAAAACAGAGTTTTTCCTTTTCTTCTTGCTGCTTGTGTAGCCTTGGAGCCGACCTATTCCAAAGGAGAAAATAATAAGCCTTAATTAAGGCTTTTGACATTTAACCACAAGACAACTGGCACTATGAGCTTGTTGCTCTCAACACCTAGAGCAGAGTTAAATCTCAGATCCTCATAGAAAACTCTGAGATAAACTATTTCAGCTGGCAAAAGCATTAAAAGACAAACAACTGACTTGTGTCCGTAATGTTAGAGTGACCTTTAGCAGAAAGCCTGGTGGATCTCTAGCACTGGTAAAAGTACTTTTGGCTATAGGGCATTATTAATGTTATTAACGCACTAATAGTACATAATATTATTAATGCCCTACAGCCAAAGACCAATGGAAACACACCTATAATTAAACAAGTTGAATCTGTTGTTCATTGCAGCTAGGGAAAATGCACACCATAGAGAACTGTGGGTATATCAGTAAAAAGGTGTCAGAAAGAACCTATTATAGGCTGTGGGCTTTGGTTGGATAGTTTTGGGAAGTGTCTGAAGAAGGGAGACTTTGTTTTGGATGACATACTGTCAAGAACCAGAAACAATTCTACAACTACGATCTCAATACATATACAAGGAGAGCTGACTAAAATAAGCATAAAGGCTGGGCGCGGTGGCTCACGCCTGTAATGCCAGCACTTTGGGAGGCCAAGGTGGGCAGATCACCTGAGGTCAGGAGTTTGAGACCAGCCTGACCAACATGGAGAAACCCCGTCTCTACTAAAAATACAAAATGAGCCGGGCATGGTGGCGCATGCCTGTAGTCCCAGCTACTCAGGAGGCTGAGGCAGGAGAATCGCTTGAACCCAGGAGGCTGAGGTTGTGGTGAGCTGAGATTGCACCATTGCACTCCAGCCTGGGCAACAAGAGTGAAACTCTGTCTCAAAAACAAACATAAATAAAATGAGAATAAAGCTGCGATTGGTTTCTAAAACGTGCAATTACTCATTTTAGATAACAGAAGGATGATCAGTATTTTGTGGGTTGCATGGTGATCGTGTATGTGCCTTACTTTATGACGGTCTCTGAGTGACCTTATCTGATGTTGATGTTTTCTGAAATTGTTTTTGTACAATGGGAGAACAATATGGCCTCGCTGTTAGCGCCAGACAAGTTTCTGGATGGCAGGAGCTGCTGCTTTTTTTTTTTTTTTCTCAGTTCAAAGGTTTAAAAAGGGAGAACCTTTGCTCTTCTTATAGAGATTGAAGTCTGCATTTCTCTTGATTGACCACAAGGGACAGACTGAAAAAAAAATAATAGCAGAAAGTATGCATGATGTACCTTGGGAAAGGATAGTTCCGTACAGATCCCCTAGACTTGGTGGAAGTCTTGGGGCAAACCAAAATGAAATTAAGACTACACGTCTCAATATATAGTGAAAAGCCTTGAGAAGGAATGATCTTGATGTCACAGGAACTTTGTAATTAGTCCACTGGGAAATAATTGTTTACATTTTCAAATAAGTAAATAAATAGACAATAATAGTCGCTGGTCCCATAGGAGTAGGGATTTAGACTCACTCTCTGTAGGAATTTTCTTATATAGTATTGACCTACTATGACCCTCAATTCCCATACACTATCCCCCGGCATATTGATATCTACAACCCTTGTGGGATTGTGAATGAAGACATTTATATTACACTGATGTAGGTGCAATTAAAGAAAATTGGATCTACTGAGCACCTGTCCAATGAACCTGATATTTCAAAGGCAGAAAGAGAAAAAGGACATCCACTCTCATTCTTGGGCTAACTCAGTTCCACTGGCTCCAAGACAACTGAAATCTTCAGGACAAAATCAAACTTTATGTCTGGTCTGGTGGTGGGAGAAACAGTTTATAAATGTAAGAATATCTCTTCTCACCCCCACCCCAGCCATGTTCCTTACTAGAGGAAGAAAGTTTCAGTACCTCTGGAGTGGCAGTGATGTGTTCCAAGACATCCTCTGTGATTGGAATATAACTGGCTCTTACCACGTATGTTTCACACACTTATGATCCAAACAGAAAAAAAAAATGTATGCCCAAGTATATTTTACAGATATGCCAAAAGCAGAATATGAAAACTTTTATAACTCTGAATTAGGGCTGGCCGCTTGTCAAGAGAAGCAACAAACTCCCCCATTGCTTCAAAGTTCCACTGTTTTCAATGAAGACGCAGGCAGGAACTTGCCCTTGGAGATAGGCCATGCTACAATTGGAATAAAAGTTATTATAAATGTACTAAAGAATGAAACTTAATGGGTGAGTGTTTCATAGATACTCTCAAGTTAGTAACCTTGCTTTTTACTTCCACTACAACACAATTTTAGTAATTACACTTGAGAGATTTAAAGTGAGGAGATATAATTATGACAGTACTTGTGTTATTCTGGGTCCTCCAAGAAGCAAAAGCCAAGACAGGATCAGATATGCGAGAGATTTATTAAAGGAAATGCCTGTGAGAGAAAATGTCGAGGGAGCCAGAGAAGGCCGGGAGAGCCACCATTAGACTGCAATGTAGGTTTAACCCTTGGGAAGGAGACAGCAAAGGAAAGACAGGCTTCCACTGAAGTACAGGTCTCAGAGAGTTTCTTTCAGGACCATGAGGAGTCCTTGAGCCAAACTCACCTATCGGGAGAGTCCCATGTCTTCCAGGAATGGGCCTGCCTGAGGATCCTCACTACATTTGATCACCAGCCTGGAGAAGCCCCTGGCAGCATGGCCTTGGCGCCAAGGATTCCAGAGCACACCAGCTGGGGCCATCTGGCAATTTCATACCCACCCCCTGCAGTTGGACATCTGAGAGGAACATTTTCATCACCACCATAGTACTCATTCTTAAGGCAGCTGTAGACACCTGTTCTGGATCATCTTAAATAGTGACTTAGTGAACTTCCCCAGTGACTCATACCAGTAAATGTCCATAGGTGGATTCATCCATCTCTGTTCCTAAATTAGAGTGTGGCTAATTCTTCCCAGATTCTTAAGGTCCTTAAAAGAAAGAATATATGGTACCACATTAAGTTAAGCTCATGACTGAAAATAATTTAAGAAGGAGGCCAGTGACTATTAATAGTAGCCCACAATTAGAAGGCATATGTATGAGTAACCCCTGCATCTGGCTTAGTGATAAACTGCAATTACTGCAGCAATTGCTCTCTATTTGACAAAAAATGGACTCATGTACCACTGGTAAAGATAATATTTCTGATTTGTGTTTGCCTCTTGTATATGCTGGACAATGAAGTATAATATTGTTTATGTATATTTATTACGTATAACCCAGAAAGAGTCTGTCATGGAAGCACAAGAAGTATGAGTTAGCCTGCCTGATTTAAGCTAATACAGATCTATCCTTGGAAATGGAGATGAATTCATTGTCCCCTGAATCTCATAAAGGAGAGGTGGATTATCTGATTTAAAAAAAAAATGGATTTGGTTAGAAAGGACAATAGGGGTAGTGTAGGGAATAGATGTTGAGGAGGCAACCACAGTGTTTACTAAATGGTGCTTTTAAAAAATCTTCCTCCACACTGTAGAATGGAATCCAAACTCCCTAGTATGGCAGCCAAAGTCCCTCTAAACCGAGCCCAAACTTCTCTTTAGAGCTAGCACTATGCAAGTTCTGCTAACAAGTTTCAGTCACTATGAACATTTTGTCTTTCTCAAATTAAGCCTTTCACATTCATATCTCTGTGCTTTGGAATCTTATACAGCCTCACATTGTAATACCTTCCCCTTTATCTCCCCGCAAATATACATTTTTCTAAGCTGAGTTTCTGTGTCACCTTCTGTGCACATTCTTCTCTAATCCTTTGATCAGAAATAATTGCTGCTTCTTTTATGTGCCCTTGCACCTGATTCGTAGCCAATTTTGGTATAGTTGTTTTCTTGTCTTTTTTCCTCTCTAGATTTACTGACCATAATAGCATTTCTATCTCCCAGAGTGCCTCACAGAATAAGTGTCCAGTAAGGATATGTTGACTTTCACTGAATGGCGTCTGTTTTCTCCCAAGTAAAAGGAAAGATCTGGGGCCTGCACCTTTGCATAAGCAGTAACCATTTCGAAGCTTATCCAACCCACCTTATTTTCGTTGTTGTTGTTGTTGTTCCGTTTTCTTTTATTTTAGGTTTCTAGCTGCCTGAACTCACGGTTTTTAGTTTCTGTCTCTAGTGAAAGGGGAAAAGAGGGATGAGGAAGGGGTTTTACTCGCCTAACCAAAAACAGAAACTAAGAACCCATGACTGTATTCTCTCTCGGACACCCTTTAGTCAGAACGTAAATGCTGGTTACCATCTTTAATCTTTTTTTTCTTCTTTTTTTTTTTTTTTTTTTTTTTAGGAACCGTTATGCCGTTCCTATGTTGTTAGGTTCCATTCCTCAGGCAGCTCCTGCTCCCAAATGGCAGGTACTTTCTGCTCTCTGACCCTGGAAAAATCACCTTTGTTTAAAGCCCCTTTCTTCTATTAGAGCAACACCAAAATACTCTCAGGAGTTAATTTAGAACAATAGTAGTACTTTACCATGAGGAGTGAGGTTGATGTAGGTGGAGACTGGTTAAAACCTAAGAGTACAAACACACAAAAGATACCGAGCCAGCTTTTTGTTGTTGTTGTTGAGACGGAGTCTCGCTCTGTCGCCCAGGCTGGAGGGCAGTGGCATGATCTCTGCTCACTGCAACATCCGCCTCCCGGGTTCAAGCAATTCTCCTGCCTCAGCCTCCCGAGTAGCTGGGATTACAGGCCTGTGCCACCACGCCCGGCTAATTTTTGTATTTTTAGGAGAGACGGGGTTTCTCCATGTTGGCCAGGCTGGTCTTGAACTCCTGACCTCAGGTGATCCACCCACCTCGGCCTCCCAAAGTGCTGGGATTACAGGAGTGAGCCCCCGCACCCGGGCCTGAATCAGCTTTTAACGTGGAACTTTACTGACCCACTTTCTTTGATGTCCATCTCCCACTTCAGCTCCCAAAGGTCAGTTGTTCCCTGATATGAAGCCTAAGAACTCAACGTACTTCACCGCACGTTGGATTTCTAGCCGGAATTATTCCAAATTCTGGCAAGTCTTATCCACAATTTCTTTTCTGTGTAAGTTTCTCCTTGCTCTTTATTTCTGAAACCTGAATGTATTTGGTCCTCTGCCAATCAGATTTCCACTAGTCCTCCGAAGAGTCAGTTATTAACTCACTAATTCGACAGATATTTTTGGACGTTCACTATATCCTTATTTATTTAGCATATATTTAGTTATTTATTAAGAAACTAAAGCCTATTCTATGTCAGAAATGAAAATAGGCAATGAGGACTCAATGGTGGGCAAAATGCAGACAGACTACTTTTTTCCCCTCATTCTAGCACAGTCATCACTTTCCTAGGTAAGACGTTCCTAAACTCCAGACTACACCAAATCCTCCTCCTGACCACACCCTTCCACCTTGATTTTCACCTTCTGACCTCTCTTGCGTAGAAATTCGAGCACCAGCCACTCTATAGCTTTAGCTTAATTTCTCCAGCCATGCACGGACGAATCTGTGTTAGTGATGCCACAGGCACGTTTCCCTCCCAGCAAGAATATAACTTGCTGGGCAGCATTTCTGTGGATACTTTGAGAGAAAAATGCCCTAGTTGAGCACCCCGCACCATGGCCATAAGCATCCACCGGGCTCGAAGTGCATGGCCCGCCGCTGACCACTAGGGGGCAGCCCTCCACGCAGAGGCTCGAGCGACGGAGGCGACGCGGCGGCTACCGGCTCTGCTGAGCCCACCCCAAGATCGGAGGGAAGGGAGCCTGATTCCACGCGGGGCCTCCCCCGTGGCATACGTTGTTGTTAGGGAACTATTCGCCCCAAATATGGTTTATTGGAGACTTAGGGTTTGCTTTTCTTATCAAGTGCGACAGCAAACTGGCTGGGTCCCCTCTCGCATCCAAGAACCCGCAGAGACCCTGAGGGAGCCGGTTTGGGGCCCCATGCAGGCCAAAGCATCCCTCCGGGAAGGCGGGGTCGCTCACCTGGTAGGCGCCCCGAGAGCCCGCAGCACGGCCCGAGGTGGGGTCCACCGATGGAACGGGAGACCACGGGCGTGGCTCAGGGAGCGGTAGCCGCGCCCCGGGCCCGCCTCAGGGTCGGCTCCGCCTCACCCCAGCCTGTGCCCCGCCTCCGGGACAGCCCAGTTTCCGAGACCTCCTAGCCTCCAAGACAGCCCCGCCGCCAGAACAGCCTCTCCTCCAGGACCGGCCAGCCTACGAGAGAGCCCCGCCTACGGTACAACCCGCCTCCGGGACCGCAGGACTCCACCTCCGAGACAGCTCAGTCCCCAGGACAGTCCCGCCTCCGAGACGGCCCCGCCTCCAGGACGGCCCCTACCTCCGAGACCGCCCCGCCTCCGGGACCGCCCCGCCCCGCCTCGCCTCCGACACGTCCCCCGGGCGCCACTGCAGAGCCTGTCCGTCAGTCCCTAGGTATCCGCACTGCTCAGGGGTGAGTTTTCCAATCCCAGCGGGTCCTGGGGTGGGGGCGGTAGCTGAGCACCTAGGGCACTGGGGGTCGCCGCAAAGTGCTGGAGGCCCCAGACCATACCCGGCGTCAGGGGGTGTCCCTCCCTTCTTAGGTCTAGGTCTTTGGTTTCATTTCGTTTTGTTAGTCTGGTGCTATTTGCAGTTTGTCTCAAAACACGTTTCTCCCTCCTATTTGAACTTGTAAATTACGAATTTGACAAAGATGTGCATGGTGTGTGCGTGCACGAGGGCACATTTCGTTGCGGAATGCTGGGTCAGCTTTCCGGGACATATTACTCATCTGAGGTTTTTTGTCTGTTTTTGTTTATCCTGTCAAACTGGTACTGCCCCAGAAGTGAAAGACGTCGCTTGTCTTCTGGGAGGTAGCTAGCACGATCTTGAGCTCAGGCTTCCGGATCTCTCTCGGCTGCTTTTTTCCACTGGTAACTTCTGAGGCTGAGATCAGGTATCCGCATTCTCAATGCTCTGCCGAGTATTGGCTCTCTTTTGTGAATTTCTTTCCCGCGAGCAGTATTAAGAAAAAGGTGGCGGATAGGAAGGGAAGAGGGGAAGAGATGGAATTCTACAGGAAATGCAGGGCATGCTCAGAATGCCAACCTTTCCGAGCTTGGAGAGATTTAGTGGAAGAAAGTAGCAGGAAAAACGTCCAGTAATCACTGGCATGCCAGACCCTGGAGAAGCCAGGCTGAGGCGCTCTGCAAGTTTCACCTTAGAGAGAGTGGACGAAATGTAACGGTTCTTGTTAGAGTTCTTGTAGAGGACGATTGTGGATGAGAATACATCCTGGGGACTAAAACCATATTGGTTTAGTCTGGAATGATTGCCAACTAAAGGGACTGATGTTTGAGAGAGATGGTGAGAGATTAACCAAATGAGGTGGTTGACTGCATATAGAAGCAGGAGGGAGAGAGGAAGGAGGCACTTGTGGCTCAAGGGCTTGGTGTGTGTTTTAGTTTAGATTCTGCCCTAAAGCAAAGCCTTATGCAAGGGCTTACCTGCAGGTAATTTTTTGGGGGTAAGTGAGACCAAAAAGCCCAAATGAGGAAGTGGAGAGAATGAGACAAGGAAAAAAGGGAAAGCCAGGAGGAGCATGTGGCTGAGGGTCTTCCACATGGCGCTCCTTTCCTCCGGGTGCCTTCCGAGGACCTCTGATGGGCACCTCGGGAAAGCCACGGGGCACTCTTCTGTGAATCCCCGCTCTACTGGGCGAAGCTCACCCTAGTGTCAACTCACCGCTACTTCAGGGCTGCCTTGTGCACCTGCAGAGGTGAGAAGCCATCAGAGCACAGAGGAAAGTCCCTTACAGTGGGCTCGTCAGAGACGCGCAAAGGGAGGCGGCACAGGCAGCCAGGGGACTACTGCACTACTGCAATCTGCAACGCTGCCCTCGGCAACCCGGGAAACTTAAAAGGACAGCAAAGGGACAGACACTCTCGTTTATTCCGTGCTCACTGTATGTGTACCAACCCCAGACAAGGCATTTTTAGACATATTCTTTGCTTTATTTTATTTTACTTTACTTTATTTTATTTTATTTTATTTTATTTTATTTTATTTTATTTTATTTTATTTTTTGAGGCAGAGTCTTGTTCTCTCGCACAGGCTAGAGTCCACTGGTGCGATATCGGCTCACTGCAACCTCCGCCCCCCACCGTCAGGGTTCAAGAAATTCTCATGACTCAGCCTCCCCAAGTGGCTGGGATTACAGGTGCACGCCACCATGCCCAGCTATTTTTTGTAGATTTAGTAGAGACAGGTTTCGCCATGTTGGCCAGGCTGGTCTCAAACTCCTGAGCTCAGGTGATCCACCGGCCTCGGCCTCCTAAAGTGCTGGGATTACAGACATAAGCCACTGCGCCTGGCCTATCCATATTCCTTTAATCTTCAAAAACAATCTTCCCATGGCTGTATTATTCTCTTTTTGTAGATGGGGAAACTGAGACTGAAGTCATTTATCCAAGAGGGGCTGCTTAAAGGGACAAATAGTCTCAGTGTTAGGCACAGCCAATTTTAAAAGACCTCCGGAAACTGCATAATGCTACCAAATAGAGGAGGGTCCTCTCCATTAGGGCAGATTTGATAAATTAGGGGGCACTTTCCAACTTAGCAAAGCTGTCAGAAGAAAGGCATGTTTTGACAGGTCTATGACCTTTCTGTTCAAAAAAATCAAGCACTGTGTCCACTCAGGCACACGAACTTAACTATCACCTTGATTTACTGGCCCTGCAGGATCTAGCCCGTCCCTCCCTCCTCCTGGGGTCCTGCTCCTCCCTGCTCCTGGCTCTCAGCCACCCCAAAGTGGTCTCGTTGCTGGAATGCCCTTTGCTCACTGCATTTCAGGTTTCAGCTTCAATGCCACTTTGTCAGAGTCCTTTCCTATCACCCAATCTAAAGTAGTCTTCCAGTTCCTCCATGTCACATCATTGTGTTTTATTTTCATCATAGTGATTGTTGCATTTTATTTATCTGTTTATCTACCTATTTATTCATTATCTTTCTCCTTCTAAAATATTCAAATCACGAAAAGGGAAACCTTATCTGTTTTGTTTCTTGCTGTACTCCCAGTGCTAGAACAGTGCTTGGCCCACAATGGGGAATCCAGTAAAATTTGGAGGTGAATGCATTTAGTTGTTTGCTTTTTTCACCTGTTCCTTCATCTGTTCTGACCAGCAGTGCTTATCAGTATCTCTTAAATACATGAAAGTCTTTGCTTCCCCCTGCAGCAGCTGATAGAACCATGGCGACCATTGCTGCTGCTGCGTTTGAGGCCCTCATGGATGGAGTGACATGCTGGGATGTCCCCAGAGGCCCCATCCCCAGTGAACTCCTTCTTATTGGAGAAGCCGCCTTCCCCGTGATGGTGAATGACAAGGGCCAGGTGCTCATTGCTGCCTCCTCCTACGGCCGAGGCCGCCTCGTGGTTGTGTCCCATGAGGGCTACCTGTCGCATGCTGGCTTGGCTCCATTTCTCCTCAATGCAGTGAGCTGGCTCTGTCCCTGTCCTGGGGCTCCCGTGGGAGTGCATCCATCCCTGGCACCTCTAGTAAACATCCTACAGGATGCTGGGCTTGAGGCACAGGTCAAGCCAGAACCAGGAGAGCCCCTAGGGGTTTACTGTATCAATGCCTACAATGACACCTTGACTGCAACGCTGATCCAGTTTGTGAAACATGGAGGGGGCTTGTTAATCGGGGGCCAGGCCTGGTACTGGGCCAGCCAGCACGGCCCTGACAAGGTGCTCTCCAGGTTCCCTGGGAACAAGGTGACAAGTGTAGCCGGAGTGTACTTCACTGACACCTATGGGGACAGAGACCGGTTCAAGGTCTCTAAGAAGGTGCCCAAGATCCCACTCCATGTCAGGTGAGTGTTTGTTCCCCTCTTAGGGAGTCTGACTCAGGATAAACAATAGAGTTGGTTCCCCTCTTCAACAAGCTTCCATTGCAATACAGGTGATTTTCCACTCAGTTTGGAACCACCACAAATCAAAAGCAGGATGATTAAAATGCACCAAGACACAAGAGAGGCTGGGCCCTCACTGCCACTCCCTCCTGTGGCCAAAGCTGAATAGAAAAGCTTGTCTTACCACTTTATCTCCATGTCTAGTAAATAGAACCTAGAGAGTGCTCATCAGTACCTCTTAAATGCATGAAAGAATATTTGTTTGTTTGCGTGAGCACCGATTGTTGATCATGCTGCATTCTGGACAATGGGGGTCTAGCAGAGATCGAGGCAGGCAAGTCATGCCATCATGAGGTTTGTATTCCAGGGGAGAGATAGGTATTAAGGAAACTAATATATATGTGCTCTATCAGGTATTGCTAAGATCCATGAAAGATGATAATATAAGTGGATAGCATGACAACAGGAAGGCTGATGGAGGCTATTTTATTTAAGACGTTCAGGGAAGTCCTATCAGTCAGACCAAGTTGGATTGGTCAGGATTTGTTGGCGTTGCTAGCAGAAGGGATTTAGTATGGGGAATTGACTATACCCATGATAGAGGAGCTGAAAATACACACAGGGGACAGCAAGTAACCCAGAGATCAGCAACAGCAGAACCAGCAGAGGGAGATGGTGGTATTACTGAAGTCCAGGTGCTGCGGCCACCTGGTAGAAGCTGGAGCCATGCTATGCCTTCCCAGCAGGAGCTGGAACCACAGATGAAAGGTCTGTCTGCTAGAAGCTGGAGTCTCAGAGAAGACACTGTGGTTACCAGAAATACAGCCTGAAGAGAGAAGCAAACACTTAAACTCCTTCCTTCTTCCTTCCTGATTTCAGTCTTCTACCTCTCTCTCCCATGGGCTGAACCCACCAGGATCCAGGGAACAGGAGAACCAAAGAAATGCAGTTTTCTGCAACACGGAGGATGACCAAGATGAAAGGGGAATAGAGATGAGTGCAAACAAGCTCATGGCCGGCTTGGAAGGCTGGTCTGGTAGGTAGCACTTGAAAGGAGACCTCAAGGAAGTGAGGGAATGAGCCATGTGGGCATCTGTGAGAGGAAGATTCCAGGCAGAGTGAGGAGTGAGGGTGAGAAAACCTGGAAGGGAAGCCTGCTTAGTATGTTCCAAGGGAAAGGGAGTGGCCCTTCTATAAGGTCGGAAGGCTCTGCAAAGCTCCAGGGGAGAATAGCTGAAGGCAGCTGTTCTGTGACCCTGAGGCAGAGGGCAAGGAGTAGGTACAAGGGAGTGTAGGAGAATTTGTCTTGATCAAGCCTGTTTGTTTGAAGTTGTCCAGGAGCTGACATTTGAACATCCGCACACATGATGTTCTCTGAATGAGGAACAATAAATGTTAGTCATTTACAGATTGTGTAGGCTCCAGGCTTTCGGCATTATGCCTGCAGTAAATAAAAGCAAGCAGCTTCAGCTTCTCGGGGCTGCTCTCTGGCCACTACAGCCAGGCAGTCACCTAGCTGTTCTTACACTGCATACTTGTGTCTGAGTACTCATTTCATCCATTGGCCAGGGACACACCTGGCAATCAGGGAAGCCAGAATGATGGGAACTCAGTGAATGATAGCTCAGGTCATGTAAGAACTGACAGGCCAGGAGTAGAACTTTAGACCTTATTTGCAGTGAGATGGGAAGACATTTTGTATTCTCTACAGAAGATTGCTATGATGTGACTTAAATTTCAAAAGGAACCCTCTGATTGATGGTGGAGAACAGACTGTGGGAGGCAAAGATTGAAGCAGCAGACCAATCGGGAGGCCACTGAAGTAGACCACAGGAGAGATGGTGGTGGCCCAGACAAGACTGATAGAAGCTGTGGAGCTACTGAGAACAGGTTCCATTCTGGACACACCTCAAAGGGAGAACCCAACAGGCTTGGCTGATGGAGTGAGTAAGGAAAAAGAGGAGTTGAGATTTTTGGTCTGAAAAAGACCAAAAATTAAACACAGGTGCTGCTGTTTAGTGATCTGTGAAAGGACAATGAGAAGATGGATTAGAGGAGATCAGGAGTCTCATTTTGGATGTTTTAGGTTTCAGATATTAGTGACTACTTACTTATGTTTGGCCACATGTAGCAGAAGCCTTAGTATAGCAGATTAACCATGTAGCAGTTTATTTTTTCTATGAAACATGAAGTACAGGTAGGTAGTCCAGCTCTGGGGCAGTGACTCTATGATGTCCCATGGTCAGTCTCTGTCTCCCTGTCACTGCCTGACCCTGTCATGGTGTGTTATTTTATCCTTATGGCTACAAGTTTGCCACTACTACTCCAGGCACCATAATTACACCCATGCAATAATAAATTGGAATGGATACACCTACTTTTAGTTTATAAAACCATGTATTTCCTGGAAGCCCTAGACTTCTATTTATATTTTAACGGCCAGCCTAGTTAAATCAGTAGTCCCTAGCCTTTTGGTACCAGGACCTGTTTTGTAGAAGACAATTTTTCCATGGACCTGGCAGGAGTTTCAAGATAATTCAAGTGCATTACATTTATTATGCACTTTATTTCTATCATTAGTACATTTTAATATATAATGAAATAATTATACAACCCACCATAATGTAGAATCAGTGGGAGGCCTGACTTCCAGACCTAACTACCAGGAGATCTGAAGGGCTGGCTATTTTTAAATGGGCACTGGCGTCTCTGAAGAAATCAAGATGCTGTACAAAGAAGAAGGGGCATACAGATACTAGTGAGCAGCTGGCAGTGCCCTGAACCCTCAGCCCCAAGCTCTGGACCTCTTTGAATTCCTTCCCTTCTGAGAGATTTGGGGAGGGGATGGGTTTACTCAGAGACATTGGAGTGGATCTGATTCGCTTCAACTTTTTTATTCTAATGCGAAGGGACAAGCAGGTGAAATCTCATCACTATAATGCCTCTTAATTGCCCCAAGGGATTCTCCTCTCTAGCTAACTCAACCTGTTTTTCTTCATCTATATCTACATTTTTAATCCCTGCCACCGATTCTAAGGTATATTTTGTGTGTTTGTTATTTTAATTCTTAATTACTGAAAATATTAAACATATGCAAAAGTAGACAGAATAGTACAATGAACCCCCATGTAGCCATTCCCCAGTCCCCAAAATAGTCAACTCCAGGTCTGTCCTATTTCACCTGTAGCCCCACTCTTCCCCACCCAAGATTATTTTGAAGCAAACAGCAGACATCATGTCTTTTCATCTGTAAGTATTTAAATATATATCTCTAAAGGTATGAAGTCTTTTAAAAACATAACTGCAAGTCATCATTATCACACCTAAAAGAATAATTCCTTAGTGTCATCACTTATTTCCATGATTGTCTTATTTTTCAAAATGTGTTAACATTGGGCCAGGCATGGTGGGTCATGCCTGTAATCCCAGTCCTTTTTGGGAGGCCAAGGCAGGTGGATCACTTGAGGTCAGGAGTTTGAGACCAGACTGGCCAACGTGGCAACACTCTACTAAAAATAAAAAAATTGGCCGGGTGTGGTGGTACGCACCAGCAGTCCTAGCTTTTTGGGAGGCTGAGGTAGGAGAATCACATGAACCCGGGAGGTGGAGGTTGCAGTGAGCCGAGACCACGCCATTGCACACCAACCTGGGCAACAGACTGAGACTCTGTCTCAAAAAAAAAAAAAAAAAAAGTGTTAACACTGAAATTTAAATAAAACCCAAATATTTTGATTTCTTGATACAAATTTTATATCTCTTTTAAGATACGCGTTTCCTTTCCAACTTTCTATTTCTTGCAGTTTTGTTGCTGTTGTTGAAGACACCAGCTACTCTTTGTTGAACAGTTTACTTCAGTCTGGACTTTGAAAGTAGACCTCAAGGAAGTCAGGGAATGAGCCATGTGTGCATCTGTGGGAGGAGGATTCCAGGCACAGTGAAGCGCAATGGTGAAAACCTGGAAAGGCAAATTGATTGCCTTCCTGTGGTATCATTTAATATGGGGGTACCAGTCCATGGCCTGTTAGGAACCAGAACACACAGCAGGATGTGAGCAGCGGGTGAGCAAATAAAGCTTCATCTGTATTTACAGCCACTCCCCATCACTTGCGTTACCACCTAAGCTCCGCCTCCTGTTAGATCAGTGGCAGCATTAGAGTCTCATAGGGGCACGAACCCTATTGCAAACTGCTCATGCAAAGGGTCTAGGTAGTGTGCTCCTTATGAGAATCTAATGCCTGATGATCTGTCACTGTCTCCCATCACCTTCAGGTGGGGCTATCTAGTTGCAGGAAAGCAAGCTCAGGGCTCCCACTGATTCTACATTATGGTGGGTTGTATAATTAGTTCATTATATGTTACAATGTACTAATAATAGAAATAAAGTGTGCCATAAATGTAATGCACTTGAATTATCCTGAAACCCCTGCCAGGTCCATGGAAAAATTGTCTTCTATAAACAGGTCCCTGGTACCAAAAGGTTAGGGACCACTGATTTAACATATTCATCTTTTGCTTGTATTTTCTGTATAATACAAATTAAAAGTTAGATCTCGATTTTAGGTCAGGATTGACAAACTGAGGCCAGCCCCTGTTTTTGTGAATGAAGTTTTGTTGGAGCACAGCCATGCCCATTCATTCACAAACTGTGGCTGCTTTCAAGCTACAGTGTCTGCCATTGTTGAATAGTTTCAGCAGAGACCATATGGCCCATATTTGTCTAAAATATTTGTCGGACCTTTTAAGGAAAACTTTCTCAGCTCCTGATCTAGAGGTTTGATCAGATTCATGTTTGAATTTTTGACCTATTTTATAGGTGGTAGTATGCACTTCTACTGGGTAGAGCACAATGGTCTGATTTTCTCTCTTACTGTGAGGTTGGCAGTCCTTAATAACCGTTGCTTAGCCCTAGACCCATTAATTTGTGTTTATAAAATGATGGCTTTAAAATTTTAATATTCCTTTTATTTGTTATTTGGAATAGTTTTATAAAACACACTTTCCTTCACCAATTACATACTCTATGGTATAATTTATATAGAAAAGGCAAAATAAATATTTAATTCTCTCTTTCTCATTTTAAAACCAGTTTCCAATATTGAGTTGTTTCCCTAGCATCTTCCAGAGGTCACCAATGTGTTTAAATTTTTCTTAGAATTATTATGAAATCATGATTGGAAACACAATGTGTTTCATTTATTATCCTTATTGATGTTGAAATTGTCCTGTTTGGCCATTGGGAGCCAATTCAAGATGATTCCTGAATCTTTTCCACCCAACCTTAATGGGCTTCCTGGTTTTTTAATATAACAGGAGGTTTCAATTTCATCTCATGTATTTCCTGCTCAGGCCCAGAACTGCCATTTCTCCAAAAAGCCCTATTTTTTTCTTCCTTCTTTTTTTAACGTACAGCCCATATTTCTGGGAGTCCTAATTTGCATTTAGAAACTCCAGTCCGGGTGTTAGAGTTGTGCATTGTTTGATCTTTGTTTCTAGGCCTTCTAAATAGGCACAGCTAAGAAATAGATATTTTTGGTTTATATTTTGATACTTCGGATCAGATTTGGGGCTACAGGGTTTTAATTTGATTTCAACAATCTTACCTCTGTATCTCCTATCTCTCATGATGAAAAATTCCGGTTCTATAAGACACCAATGTAACGACTCATTTGCTCTATCCCAAGATATACAAACAACAGTTGCAAAATATGAATAATAGCACTACTACCAGCAATATGATGATTATTGTAACAAAGATTACTTGCAGTTCTTTTTGTCCCAATGATATATTTTATTATATACATATATAAAGTCAAAATACTATCTTTAAAGTCACTTCCAATACTTCCGCTCTTTGTGGTTATACCGCTAAACAGATGTACATGTCAATTCATTGGTTATTTTATTTTTTAGTTTTGGAATTGCTTGTGTAATTTAATTTTGTTTAAAATTATGTAAAATAGTAATCTGGGTCCAAAGTAAGATCTTAAGAAACCTATATTCTGTCCCTGTTTCCTTCAAACAATTCCCTTCTTCCTTCTGTGCATTTTTTGTGGTTTAATTCTCCACAAACACACACATATTAGTAGTCTTCTCTTCACTGGATAAGGCAATAACATACTCTATACATTTTTTCCTCCTTACTTTTTTTCACTTAACATTATTTCCTGGATATGGCCTGATAGTAATGTATAGAGATACACTGTATACTCTATTATACCATGGTGTATGGATATGATATTGTTTATTCAATAAGTCCCTTATTGACAGGCACTTGAGTTTCCAGTATGTGTTATTTTTCTGGTACTTCTACTGTTACACATGTGCTGCAATGAATACCTTTGTGCACGTATCCTTATATTTCGCGCTATCACTGGAAATGGGATTTCTGAGTCATGGGGGAAATTCATATGTAATTTCGCTAGGCACTGCTAAGTCCCCCTTGTTGCAGCTTGGGTTACTGGGAATCTGACTCAGAGATAGAGATACATGTGTGGGAGGTTTGTGAGGGCATGCTCCCAGGATCAGCATCTGTGGAAAGGTGAAGGAAGAAGCACTGGAGACAGGGAGAAGCCGGGCTATGAGGCAAATATTTTTTAGCAATATTTTCACTGTTAAGTGGAACACTGGAAGAAACGTGTCTGTAATAGAAGATTGCTTAAATAAGGTATAGCATATCCTAGAGTGATTGAGTGAGTAATTTTGCAATCATTAAAAATTCTATGTTCAAAGACTTCTTAAAGGAAATGAAAAATATTCATGATAAAATAGACAAAATTAAGATATAAAGCTCTGCATTAAAATGATGCTAAATTCATTAAAACAATATATGTATAGCCAGGAAAATAAAACATTAGAAGAAAATATAATAAAATATTAGTAATGTGTCTCTGGGGCTAAGTTGGTAATTGGTTTCATCTTCAAATATTTTTGTCCTTTCCGAATACTCTATAATTATAAATTGACAAAAAAGACATTTTTAATATTACCTCTTTGCCTTTTCAGAACCCTTAAAAAATAAAAAACCTCTCCCCAGATCACATTAAGATATCTTTCTTTGACCTGATATCATTTATAGTTTTCATTGATTCACCAACAAAAAGGAGAAAGGAACAAATTTTCTTAACATATCAGTTTTTTTCCCTCTTTCTAGTATCTTGTATCCATGTTTTAATTTATCTAAAATATGTGAGTGCCTGTTCTAGACACTATTCTAGGCACTGGAATTCCCACAGCGTTTAAGTCCATATTTTAGGACTAAGAGAAGCGTAGTGAAAGTTCAGCTAATACTGTATAAAAATAAATTCCCACATTGTTAGTTTTGATTAATTAAAACATTTATTGAAAAAACAATGACACTAAAGCATTTGAATATTTGTAATTTCTGTAATGTCCTCAACCAAAATGTTTATGCTTACATATCTTCTATCTTTGCATATCTTTACAAATCAATACATCATTTTTGCTAGCTATGATTACATGCTGCTATTTTGTATTCTCCTTAAAAATATTTTCCCATTTTTATATATGATATTTTTAATGATAATTTTTAATCATAAGTTCTGTAATTTGTTTTAACTATTTCCTCTTTGTTGCATACTCAGATATTTTCTAGTTGAGTATCGGGGGGTTGGCGATAACATATATTATCCATACACATCTTTAAAGTATTTTAGAACTGTCCCTCAATGTAAAGACCACAACATGTAACATTAGATTTCTTGTTTTATAAAATATCAAGATATTTGTTCCTATTCTGGACTTTCTTTCAGCTCTTGAAAATCCAATTTATTCTTCTTAATTAGTTTCAACTCAAACACCCTCCTCAGAGCAGTCTTCCCCAGTGGCCATACTGAAATTTGGACTGTCCATCCAGTTTCACTTCATCACATTTCTCCATTTATTCCTTAAACATTATCACTCTCTATAACTATCTCCGCTGTTTCTTGCTAGGGCCTGTCTAACCAACCAGAATATAGAGCTCCATGATCTTGCCTGTTGCGTTTACTGCTTTATTCTCAGTGCCTGGAGTACTTAACATTAGAGATCAACAAATATTTGTAAACTATATAAATTAATGAAAAAATATGAATGAATACACATCCAAAACCATAACAAGAGAAAAGACAGCCTCATATACTACTGTTAATCCTGCAGACAACTTCCTACTATGGAATATAGGGCTGGGGGTTGCGCCAGAGCCTTCCAGCCTCAGCCAACAATAGAGCCAGAGGGAACCAACTCCTTGAGAGTCTCAGAAGGTCAGAGTCTGAGTCTCTGGCTCAGATTCCTCCCGCCTTCAGAGCAAGTCCCATTAGAGGTTTTCAGTGAACATTCCTGCCACAAATATTGGTCAAAGGCGCTTGGACTGACCCAGCAGGTTCCTTAACTTTAAATCTCGGCTGGAAGGCCCTGGAGCTTCTTAAGAGAATTGATTGCTGGCCTGCCCCAACTCTGCCTGCCAAGGAGTGGGGCAGTCTCTAAACACCAACAAAAGCTCCTCTCACATCCTATCCCCAAGGGCACACCTATGTTTATATAACAGGAGTATACTGCAGTTGCTTTAATATTTAAAAGCAAATCCAAAGGCACTTGCTACCTTTATACCATGACAGAAGAGTCTGGAAGAAAAGTTAACCTCAGATACTAAGCAGCCACCCATTACACTTACACACGGTATAATCTACAAGCTCTAAAATATGTTAGCAGCTGCCCATATAAAAGTAAATATGTAACTGGGCATGCTGATGCACAGGTACTCACATACTCGAGAGGCTGAGGTAGGAGGCTCTCTTGAGGCTGGGAATCCAAGGCTGCAGTGTTCTGTAATTGCACCTGCAAATACGCATTGCACTCCAGCCTGAGCAACATAGTGAGAACCTGTCACTATTTGGTAAGTAAAAATTGTAAATATGTACTAGTGGCTTAGGTTTATGACTGTCTTGAGAATTATTTATTTTCTCTGTCCTCAACACAGTCCTGTAGAGTAGGAAAGTCTTTGTCCAAGGAGTTCCAAGTTACAAGCACCACATACCTTTGTGTATGTATCATTATATTTTGCCATATCACTGGAAATGGGATTTCTGAGTCACGGAGGAAATTCATACGTAATTTTGCTAGGCGCTGCTAAATTCCACTTGTTTCAGCTTGGGTTCCTGGGAATCTGACTCAGAGACAGAGATAATTGTGTGGAAGGTTTATGAGGTTTATATTCAAGATCCATGAATGTAGTTTCCAGGTAAAAGCTGAAATGAGACTAGATCCCAGAATTGCTCTCTCCACCAAATCTGACAAAATGAATGAAAAATAATTAATAAATGGCTGGATGTGGAAGGTTTTTATGATGATGACATACATTGCTATGCACTGGCCAAGGAGAACAGGTGATTGATGGGTGGCCCAGGATGGAGTATCTCCTAACACCAGTCAACCTTCCATGTACAATGGAAAGAAAATATTCAAAATCACAAATTCAATAGTTATCATTAATGCTTTCTAATACATAGAAAAGTGAACAAATTGGGTGGATAGACAAGAAAAAAAGCTTTCAAGTGTAAACTCCCCATGTGAGTTCCATCTGTGGTTTGGTGGAAGTGGGCCTAGCTTATTAGGTCCCCTAAGACGGAGAAACCAGGCCTAATCAAAAACCAAAAATCTGAAATTCTCCAAAATTCAAAACTTTTTGAGCACCACCAACATAATGCCAGAAGTGGAAAATCCCACTTTGGGGACACCTTTGCTTTCTGATGGTTCAATGTACACAAACTTTTTTCATGCACAAACTTATTTAAAATATTGTATAAATTACCTTTAGGCTCTGTGTAAAGGTGTATAGGAAACATAAATGAATTTTGTGTTTAGAGTTGGGTCCCAACACCAAGGTATCTCCTTATGTGTATGCAAATATTCCATAACCTGAAAAAAATCAAAATCTGAAACACTATTGGTTGGTCCCAAGCATTTTCCATAAGGGCTGCTCAACCTGTATTATCTCCTTCAATTCTAACAATAATCTTCCAATAATATCAGAAATATAGTTTATTAAGCCAGGAGAAAGAGTAAACATTATGACATTGTTAGGAATGTTTGTGTGTTTAAGCAGGATTTTGGTCTGACATAGAAATATGAATATATCTGTGCTCACAGGTGAGTAGCATCTGTATTCTGACTATTCCAAATGAGTAATTTTTGTACCTGCAATTTGTTACAAAAGTGAGTTTTCCAAATTATTTTCTTAAATCTGACAGGTTAAATAGTTTAAATAAAATTGTGTGTCTAATAGGCATGATTGAGATCTAAAGAGATTTTACCCTGTATTTACCAGCTTAAAATAAAAGAAAAAAAATACATTTACAATTTCAAGGCACCTCTCTGATTATCAATGCCCATATTGTTCAGTGATGATGGAGACAGTTTTTAAAGTTTTCTTATTTACTATGATTTATCTGTATTTAAGAAATTAAAAATACAAAAAAAAAAGATACTCAAGTGTTGGGGGCTGCAGGTCTTCAAAATGTTTTTTACAGCATCTGATCAACATAGTTCTCTCTAGTTCTTTTTTTGATGTTATAGATCCTAAGAAAACATCGTTTCTAGATTCTAGTATTTCTGTCCTGTTTATATTTATCAGAGAGTGAAATAAATCCAGAAGAGTATTTTTACATTCTATACAATCTCAACAGAAAAACAAAACAAGCTAAGTGAAGATGTATTTGATTACTACCAGTAGACTTCATTACTTTTATTTTCAAGAAAAAATATATAAATTGTTAGATGTTTTACCTTCAATATGGTGAAAATGACAGCAGCGCACTTCACACTTACCTTTTTATTTAGTGCTGTACCTTCCTAATTTGGCAGTTTTTTAATTGGCATTCAGAAACCTATCGCCCATGTTACCTGTCTGCTCAGATGTGGTTTGCGAACATTTCCTAACCATACCATCCCATCCCTTTCCTTTAGTCCTCAGTGGCTTCCCCTGCACTTCCAGCTCTGAAGTAACACATGCTTTTCCTTTCTTAAACACAGTATTGTTCGCACCTTTGCATCCTGTAAAGCTTCCTTTGCACAAGATATACCTGTCGAAAACCATGTACCCAGATGTAGGTTCCGTCAAAGACTCAGTAATTGAGTGAGAGAGTTCTGGTGTGTAGACAACGGTGGCTTTGGAAGCAAGCCAGCCTGGGTTTAGTAAAAATTAAAGAAATAGGAAAGAAATACAAAAGGTGGCTTGACAGTCACAGACAGGTTTAATTTAGAGAAAATAAACATGGGAGGGGCATCTGGCCGAGTTAGGTCAGAGGCATACTCCCTTACAGACTAAGAGTTTTTAAGGATTCAAGGTGGGAGAGTTTATCAGAGGCCTCGACTGCTTCTGTGTCTCTTTGTTGTGCTTATCTGAGAGGGAGAGTTGTATCTCTGTTCCCATATATCTTTCTGCAGCTGCAGGCATACCCCACTTTTAGCTTCCTATCTTTTAACTTCCCTAACTTAGTGCACCCAAAGGGAAAGGAATGTTCTTATTAAGGCCCACTGTTTAACTGGGGCCCATTGTATGAGGATGAAGTTTGGCAGTTACCCAAGAGACTTTGCTCCCTCCTCCCTCTGTGCCCGAGCTGTCTCATCTGTGTTTTACCGTTCTGCTCTTTCCGGCTGCTTGTAGTTAGAAGAGAAGTGATTTCCTGGAAATGCATGGGGCTAGAAAGGGAGCTGAAACATAAATTAGCGGTGTTTATCCAAGATGACGATGCTCCTGCTTTGTCAGGTTTGCTTCCTGTCCCTGCCAGTTATTAGCTAGGAAACGTGGGGAAAATTGCTTAGCTTTTCCAAACTCCATCTTTAAAGTGAGAATAGTAACTTTCAGGTTTATTATAATGATTGAAAGAGATAATACATATGTTAAATACCTAACATATATTAAACCTTATTAAATAGCAGCTACTTTCATTGTTTTCCACACTTAAACATTGTAAACAGATATTATACAAGATTTAAATATTGGTAACTAGCTGTCTGAGATCATTAATATTGCCCTTAGGATATTGTCAAATCAGCTGTTGAAATTTACCTGATATACTAACTGCTATGCTTACTCACTTTTCCCTCCCTCCCTCCCTGCTTCCCCCTCCCTTCCCCCTCCCTCCCTCTGTCATCCCCTTCCTTCCTTCTTTCCTCCTTTCCTTTCTTTCTTTAGTTTTCTTTTAAGAAATGCCTTTTTATGAAAATATTTCAAAAGGAATTCAAGTTTATTTTGAAAAAATGCACACCAATACAGAAATATAGAGAGGAAAATGGCAACTCATCCTCCTCACCACACCACCAGCTCCAGTCTCATGCCTCTGGACCAAGGTAGCCAATCCTAAAAGTTTGACATGGATCATCTCAGATGCTTATCTATGTGTGTGTGTGTGCTCTGCACATTGATTTTTTAGTTAATGTATCATGTTGGAGAATGTCTGCCTTTTTACTTCATATTTTTGCAACAAGTTAGCAGAACACAACCTTCTAGGGTCTCAATGTCTTGTCTTCAGGATGCAGGACAATTGTCTTCTGGCTGTAAGTAAGCTTGTAAGTCATTCTGATCAAATCATCTCCATCCTTTTTTTTTTTCCAATGGATGCTGTGAATACATTACCATCTCCAAATGTAATGTCAATTCATATTTTTATTTTCTTTGTAGCAGTTCTTGCTTTCAGTATTGTGTTTTTGCAGGGCATAAAAATTAATAAAAATTTTATTTTTGTTAGAGTGTAACTTTAATCCATAGAAAATGTTCATTTTTAATTTTTCCTCTTTGAAATCACTTGCATCCCTTATTAATGCTGATATGTCTGCTTTTTTGTTTTTGTATTTTTTAAAATAAAACTTTGTTGATTTTGTCATTTTCAATGCTTTTATGTTTAGTTTCAGGTGTGTCTTTTATAAGCAGCTTATATCCAGATGTTTTTAACCCAATCTGACAGCTTCTGTGAGATGGAAATTCAATGCATTCATATATACTGTGATGATTCAAATGTATTTCTTGCTCTTACCCCCTTTTAATTTTATTTTCTATTTTTATGCTTTATTTCTTTTTACATTTTTCCTTGGTTGCTACTAAGCTTTATCCATTTCTTAAATTTCCTCAACACATTTGTAGATTATACATTTTACTTCTATTTTTGGAGCAGTTATCTTAAATTTTAAATTTAATGTTTGATTACCTGAGAAATATAATTGTACATTCTCCTTATTTGAAGAAACAAATTATTGAGGCAAAAGCCCTTTTCATCATCTCCTTCAATGTCAGTCCTTTCTCTCTATCTCAAAATCCAAAAGAAAACACTCTTATCAGTTTATTGTGGTTGTTCCCTGACATTTTGGACATATATTGACGTATGTTTACTTTGCTTTATATTGTGTCTTCCATAAGTTGCATCACCAAGTTCTGCTATTTTTGAAATTGTTTTACTCAACAAATATGTTTTGAACATCTTTCCTTGTTAATTAACATAGGTGGACCTATTCTTATTGACTGATAAATAGTAATCCATCATATGATTAAATGCCAATTTTTATTTGCATTCATATTAGTAAACATTTAACTTCTTCATATTTTTTCACTATTACCAACAATTTGCAATGAACTTCCTAGTACTGCCTCCATTTATACTACTATAGGCTGTTTCTCTTTTTAATGTTATTGGATACTGCCAAAATGATCTCCAGTTTTTATGAAAGATTAGTTTTCTCCACACTCTTGCCAACACTTAATATTGTCAGCTTTTGAAACATTTACTAATTTTCTGGGTAAAATATGTTATTATATATAATTTGCATTTGTGTGATTATATCTTTTCAAATGCTGAATATCTCACTTGGATTTCATCTTTCATGAACTGTTTGAGAATATACTTTAAAAATATTTTCTGTTTTTTGCTTTTCTGTTTATCCTTAGAAATTACTCATATATTCTGAATTCTAATTTTGTATCTGTTCAGTCTGTTACAAATATTTGTCTCTCAGTGACCTCACCTTCTTTAACTTTATTTATGCTGCCTTTATGCTAAGAAGTTGTTGGTTTTTTTCTTTAATTCTATGTGGTTCTTGCAGCTTTTGTCAACCATTCTAGTCACTTCCTAGATTCCCAATGCTACTGTAGTTTGTGTGTGTGGGCATGTGGATGAATATATGCAGTCATTTTAATTAGCTGTGGAGAGGATATCTGCAAGTAACTGCAGCTTTCCATATTGAAGTTTTACTACCATTAGCTGAGGCTTTGCCAGGTGCCTGTGAGAAGATGCTAAGAACACTTCGAGTGGAATTTTTCATTATTAAGTCTTGTAGCTCAATGTCATTAACTCCCCAAAATATCTTGAGTTCCAACAGGTAACAAAAAGCCACAGGCAGAACTGATACCTGAACTCTATGACATTTGCCATGTGAGTCTGAAAATGGGATGACAAAACTAAGACATGCCATCTCCTCATTTTCATGCTGAAAAGAAATTAAAGAGAATCTGCACAAGAGTTACATTTTTCAACAATGTTTTACTACTGGAATAAATAAACTATACTTTTTAAAAAATATAACATTTAATTTTTAATTATAAGAGAAATAGATGTTAATTTTAAAATTCGAGAGAATAAAGTTTTATAAAGATAATTAAAATGACCTAAAATCCCACCAGCCAAGACGACCACTGAAGACATTTTTTTTAAACAAAGATGTTTTGATAAATATGCTTTAGGTTCTGCTTCTATGTCTGGTTTCTTGGTTTTTTATTTTTTTTACCCCAAAATTTGGCTTATTTAGTGTTTGGGGCTCTCTCAACTATTCCAGCGTGTCTCGCTTGCTATTTGAAAACTTGTTAAAGCATAATAAATTAGAAGCCTTATTCAGGGATGGCAGGGATGAGAAAGGGATATCAGGTTGTTATGGGAACCCGTGGTCTTTAGAGCTATTGGTCAAAAATAGAAGCCTCAGGATGGCAGGATGAAAGATCCTCTCTGGAAGACTAAGAGGTGAAGTGAGTCTCTTGGGGAAAGCAATAGCGTAGGCAGAAAAACAATAAAAAGAAGCACAAGGCACCTTTTACAGAAAGGGGTTCCATTTTTTCTTATGACCGTGGCCACCATCTAGTGGTCAGGCTTGGAAGCGGGATTCAGGCTCCAGATACTGAGCACACGGCCAAAGCCCCATGGTGGAGTTGATGGCGTGACCCTGCCTTTTCTCTCCCGCCTTGTGGGGCATCCTTTACTTCCTGGCACGGAGGTACACTTGCATGGGGTTTTCCTGCCACTCTGGTAGGGAGGCCAGGCTGTCAGCCACCTCCTTCTGGATAGGCCAGCCCCAGGCCTCAAAGAAGGGAACCAGATTCTTCTTCACTTTTTCAGAGAACTTCTTCACCCATAGATTCATCCTGCCAGTGTTGTCTTTGGGGAGGTGAGAGAGGGTCTGGTACTCAGCAAAGAGCTGGGTGAATGGCTCCCACCCGAAGGCCTGTTGGAGCTGAAAAGGGAAAGAAGGAACAGAATGAGGTGTCAAGTTTGCAAAAGTGACGTGACATGTGCGTTCTTAAATATATTTCATTCACATGATCACCTCCCCTCAATCGTTACCTTCATCCTGGGTATGTGCCCCTATCTCCCCACTCTGCCCCTGCACAATAATGCAATCTTGTTGGCTCATTCCTCCTCTTGGCCACAAAACAACACCCCCTGAATCTAGTGGGGGTGCTCAGGGGAAACCTAATGTCTGAATAGAGGTAAATACTCAATAAATGTCCACTATTAGTATCTTTAAACAATTGTCTTCCCAGATCTCAAGTGTTTTCCTCAGCATCAGGACAGGTTTGGGCCTGACTGAGATGAGAAACCCTCACTTCCTACATATCTGGCCTATTGAGATTCTAAAAGCTGCGAACCTCCAATACTATACTTTCCAGACATCATCATAATCCTTATTTTTTAATAGCCATCTTGGACCTGTGGCTATCTGCAATGATACAAAATTGCTCTGTAGAACACTGCATTTAGGGCAGAAAAAGAAAAAAATCCAGCCTGTCTCGAGGGGCTAAAAATGAGAGTGGCTCATACTTCATAAGGGGCAGCTAATGAGAGTGGCTCATACTTCATAAGGGGCAGCTCTCCGGAAAGCCCTTGGCAGAAGGCCCTTGTTTACTAAGATTATACAAATTTCCAGTTAGCGGGGATCTGGGGTTTCACATCCCCACTCTCCCTTTAATAGATGAGCATTCTCTGACTGTAGCTCATAAAAGCCCAAGGACAGATAACACCACCGAAGCCAAGCCTACCTCAGAGTCTCACTGTTGTATCCTTATTATTGCTCATCTGTTCTCACTGGCTTGCTCTTTGACACTTATTAATCAATACATCAATAAATTAAGCATTTATTAAACGTTTAACATGTATTAGACACCCACACACCGCCAGCTACTGTGCTAGGCAAACATCATTAAGAGCTCTTGTCCTTCTAGAGAACACTGGCCAAAGGGAGAAACACACGTAAATAAACACATTGGTAAAACTGTTGGTTTATCAAGGAGGCGATGTCCAGGAGAGAAAGGGCCAACAGAGCTGAATTTGGACAGGTGACTTGACAGCTAATGGACAAGATGTTCCAGCATGATTCAGCAGCAGGAAGCAAACAAGGGGAGGCACAGAAGCCAAAACAGCAAGCTGTGTCCGTAACCATAAGCAGGTTGGCATGCCGAAGGGTAAATGTGGAGGTGAGAGCAGTAGGAGATGTAGCTAGAGGTGCTGGCGAGGCTGGTCATGAAGGGCCTCCTATGCCCTGCTAATGAGCTTTGACTTTACCCTATATGTGCTAGAGAACACTGTAAGCATTTGATAGACAGAGTATTAACATTATTTTGGAAGGAGTGTAAGGAAGATGGATCATAGAGGATTGAGGCAAGATGCTGGGACAACTTAGAAGGCTACTGGAATACACTGAGGGAAGACTAACGAGGCCTGAGCTAAGGCAGCAGTGGCACGGATGCTGGGGAGAAGCCCTCTAGCAGGAAGAGGAGTCAGAAGGTGCCTGTTTATCCTGAGGCCAAGTCTCAGACTTGGTCTCTCTAGAGCTATTGAGAACTGATATTCGGGGCTCCACAGTGAGTAGGTAGCAGACTAGGACAGAATTAGGGCTTAAACTTACAGTTTAGGGGCAACCTACCATTGTGGTCAGTGGTCCTGTATACCCCCAGACTGGCTATCTAAGGATATGGAAATGAATGCAATACAAAGTTACCTCATTGACTGGGACTGTCTCACATTCACTCTTCAGAAAATTAGTGAAAGGCACAAAAAACTAAGAGAGGGTATGGCAATGCGAAAGCCTGGGGCTTGTCATTACGTCCTGATTTTAAGTTCTAGGTCCTTCACTTAAATGGGGGCTACTGGAAAGATTGCTTAAATTCTTTAAAATAGTGTGTGCCTCTGTGAAAAGTGGGCCAGACAGCTCCTATCCATAGAGCTGTGGGAGACATTGCAGGAGATCTGAAAGGGGAACAACATTGACAACTTGAAAACATCGACATTCAATGCAGGGCTAGGGGAGGGGGCAGGGATTTGTGTTTATTTCACAGGAAGTAGACTTGCTTTATGAATTCAGTGTTCTACTATTGGGTTGACTGGCTCTTCATTTTAAATCATTTTGGCTTCAAGTGGGGTGATGGATGATGAGACCCTTGTTAGCAGATTTGTCTCCAACAATGCCTTCTTATTGTAATGCAGCTGCATTGCAGACACCCTCCGTTATTATAAAAAAGCATAACTCATTTGACTCATAAAACTCAGGTGAAATAAAACAAAACTAAACAAAGCAATGACCATTTATGGAACACTTATTAGGAGACCAAGAACAAAACCAATGAGGGCAAGAGCTGTGATTCAGCTGCAGGAATGTCTAACAGAGTTTCTGCCCTTGAATAATACGCTATATTTCTATTTTTTTCATAATATTTTTCATTTCCTCTTACATTGCAAAATCAGAAGGTGAGTGAGACAGGTGCCATTCTCTCTGCCTTAGAGGGGTATAACCCAAGAAGCACCACCCTGCGGCCCAGTCTCTCTCATTTCCAGGGGAGGTGGAGGTCCAGGCTGGTGGAGTGGCGAAGGAGGTGGAGAGCTACTGGGATCCAGGTCGCTACATGACTGAGGGGTCTGGTCATCCCCTTCTCCCAG
Organism: Homo sapiens; assembly: GCF_000001405.40. Lineage (NCBI taxonomy): Eukaryota > Metazoa > Chordata > Mammalia > Primates > Hominidae > Homo > Homo sapiens. The sequence continues at coordinate 359,321 of NW_018654714.1, read as the reverse complement.
AATTTCTGCTCAGTACCTGTAGATATGTTTCCAGGGCTGTCCATACATTCCAGTCACACAGGGGGGCTCCCTTTCCCAGGTGGGCCTTGATTCTCCTCTCTCGCTCTGGAGGGCTCAGAGCCTCATGGGCCTGAGCCCTGGGGATCCCCAGGACTGTTTCATTCACGTAGACTGACCAAAGGTTACAGGTGGCCTCAGTAGTGTGTGGGGGGAACTCCCATCCATGCCACTGTTGGTTGTTGCCCAGCTCATGGATGGGGCCCCACACACCCCTGCTCCTCATGTCCATCTCATTGATGATCTCCTTCACAGACTCCAGGTGGCACATGATGGGGTATCCTGAATGCATCCAGCCTGGGAACACAGAAGGAAGAGATGAGCATTAAGGAGGGTCCGCCCAAACTATCTCCTTCATTCTTCTCCATTATTGGACTTTTCTTCACCATCCTGGTTATCCCCAATAATTGCAGAATCTCTGTGCTGATTGGAAAGCAAATAGCTTTCCCCTACTTGGTCAGAAACTGAATAGTACCTAATCCCCTTCTTAGTCTCTCACACCTGAGTTGTGGCCTCCTCCTCAATCTGGCCCTGGAGAATTTGGTTATACTTTACATAGTCATTCTTGCTGTAATTCGACACCTTCATTTTGTGTGTGTGAGTGTCCTTTACATGTCAGTCTGAGATATGATGTCCTCTGACTGGATCTGAGATCCTTGAGGGCTAGAACAGTGTCATTCTTTCTTCCCCATGTATACTACTTTTGTCCAAATTTACACTCTATGACAGAGATAATTTTTGTCCTTATTTGAAGGTATGAAAATTGAGGTCCAAAGAACTTTCCCCATTTGGGATCCAGAGTTCCTTATTTCTCTTCCTATGTACCTCTTTCTTTTTAACCACTCAGTACTTACCATAAACCTCCTTACGTATTTCCTCTTTTCATTTTCAACTCTGGCTTATGTTTGAAGAAAATAGTTGATTTTCTATGTTGTCCTTGAAATGACTCTGGTTGCCATCTATGAATTCCCAATACAACGTTTTCTGAGATTGTTTTACCATCCAGTGAAATCTCACCTTGTAGATGTCAATAATTTGTTTTTCACATGTAAACATTCTTTCATCCCCATCATGGTCAATGTCTTTTATATCTTTTTCCCTTGCTTTACTAATAAAATTATGCTTACACATTTTGGACATTCATAAAAGGCAAAGTAATAGATACATGGTTTCCACTGACTAGGAGGATTCCCTGGGAGCACCCACCAGCTGAGATCTGCACATCAGCCACAATCCTCTCAGGACGGCGGAAAGGGAAGGGCTCAGCTGCCAGCCTGGCCACAGCCTGCATCATCTCATCCCAGAGGCGGAGCACAGGCTCGGGGTCCTTCAGGGCCTGAAGGTTTGTGGTTGGCACTGTCAGGATGATGTTGTCCGTGGCCAGCTCTCCCCAGGGAGCCAGGTTCTCCTGCATCTGCCTCTTCCACTCCTCCAGCGATGTCTTACCTGGGAATAAATATCATGGAACCTACCACACCCACTTCTCCAACTTCCCTTGAGCTGAAAAATACCATTTGAACTCTGGAAGAACATTGCAATAATGAACTACTATCACAGGTGTCTATAGGCTGTAAAGTGAAGAAAAGGCTTCCTGACTCTTCTCTTTGTCTGCCCTGAAGTCTCCATGGACACAGGGTATTCCGTATCTTCTGCCTCCATGTTCCCTCCCAACAGTTCTTCCTCTTTCTCTCCACCAAAGCTCATCCCTCTCCCATTTAGCAACCACCCCACAGTTCCCACGGCATCTGCCACTCTTCCTCCTCCCTAAATGTTCACTCCACTTACCCAGCTTGTAGTATGGGGCAGGCACAGCTCCCCTGATAGTGACAGGCACAGGGCCTAGTTGGCTGCCCTTGGGCACGATGACGTAGAGGAGGCCGCCCCAGAGGCAGGAGACTGACCGCTCAGTCCTGTCCATCCAGCATTGGTGAGTCACCACGGGGGCTCGAGATAGCTTCCTGGCCTTGGTAAGGTCATCGGTGTGGCAGCCAATCTGTACCTGGACAGGTGATTCCACCAAGCGTTGGAGAAATTAGAGTCTTTGTGATGCTTTGTGATGTGCGTGTGAGGTTGTGTAGATGGAAGGTATTAGACAAACATGCCCATGAAACCCCAGCTTCCCTTTTCTATGTGCTAGGCATGGAAACTTATGAAATTTTAGCACTCCAAAGTCATTTGGACTTCAAGGCATTTAAAATCATTTTTCTAAGGATTTAAACAGCTCCACTATAAGTCTTCACCTGACATGAATTGGTGAGAGACCAGGCTGATCCTGGCAAAGGTCTTGTGTCTTTCTGCCAGGCAAAATCCTGGGTTCTTCTAGCAGGACCTAAGCCAGTCTGGGGACGCTGATATTGAGGATGAGCTGGGGGACTCTGCTCTGTCCTCTGTGAACACACAGGAGGCCCATCCAGAGTGAGTGAGGTTGATTCTCTCTCCCTCTTTGCCCAGAGCTTCCCTTTCTGGCCGCCAGATGGGTGGAGATCTGTTTTGTCTGGAGTCCTGGAGTTGCTTTTCTTAGGTTTGATATAAGCAAGCTCCAGAAAGAATGCTGACAGAAAAGGGACCCTAGCTGTGGTAGGAAGTGGCCCTCAGAGTCAAGGAGGCAGGATGAATTTAAATTCTGCATGTAGGGCATATTTTGGGGAGTGATGGGATTATGCACACCCTTCAGGTGTCAAGATAAAGAGATAAAACCAGAGTTTGTACAGAATGAGCTTGCTGACACACAGCCTAAATTTGTACCGCATGTTTCATACTAACTCCCTCTGAGTTTGCACATGGGACCCATGAGGAGGCATGAAGAGGTAACTGCCCATGCCCGAGGATTTTCCAGCCCTTCCTTTTCTTTCTGTCAATCACCTACTAATCACAGAATCCACTCCCTACACCTTTTCTACTAAAATAACTCTTTAAAATAAGTACAATGGGACAGATTTGAGCTGGGCTCCTGTCTCCTTGTTAATCAAATTGCAATAAAATGTTTTCTTTTGTTTTTGTTTTTGTTTTTTTTTTTGGTGAAAAACTCAAGTGTCATAGTTTTGGCTTCTAGTCCATTCTGCAGTGAGCTTCTCTTGCTTGATAACACTAGGCACTTCAGTCACTCACTTAGATGCCCTGAAATTTAGCTGCTTCATCTGTAAAATCTGTAAAATGGGCAGAATAATCCATCTCTGTACTCCTGGCAGCATTGCCATGAGCTGGAACTAGACAGTGGATGAGAATGACACAGCTCTACGGTTTTGAGAGGTGGCAGATGTGGGTGTTCAGACCTTACCCTCAGGCCAGCAGAGGCAGCAGCTTCAGACAGTGAGACTTCTGCATTTTGTCCTTCCAGGAGGTAGAGCCCGGTACTCACCCAGCAATCATTGTTGCCTGACAAAAGTCACAGAGAAGGCTCAGTTCTTCCTTCCTATGTGAGTATATCTCCACTTGGGGCCTCCCAGCCCCTCCCAGTGGTACAGCTTCTCCCCTGTGTATCTCAAGTCATCCATACTTCTTAGACTCATCCCCTCTAAACCTTAAGCAGTGTCCCAATCCCCATCTTCTTGAAAGTACCTGATGAAGAATGGAGTCAGCTGGGCCCAGTGGCTCACGACTGTAATCCCAGCACTTTGGGAGGCCAAGGCAGGTGGATCACCTGAGGTCAGGAGTTCCGGACCAGCCTTACCTTTATGGTGAAACTCCCTCTCTACTAAAAATACAAAAATTAGCCAGGCATGGTGGCGTGTGCCTGTAGTCCCAGCAACACAGGAGGCTGAGAGAGGAGAATTGCTTAAACCCAGGAGGTGGAGGTTGCATGAGCTGAGATCGCGCTACTGCATTCCAACCTGGATGACAGAGTGAGACTCTGTCTCAAAAAAAAAAAAAGAATGGGGTCAATCTTCCTGAGGGTAGGTACCTGCAATGTCCTGTGTAGTGTCAGCCAATCCCACTTTCCCCTACATCTTTAATGTTCTGGGCACTCTCTCCTGTTTTCATACCTGGGTTGATTCCATTGATCTCCACGGTGATGGGGTGTTTTGAGGGGTACAAACTGGAGGAGCAGGTCCAGGTGCCAAGCCCCTGGGCCAGCTGGGAGCAGTCAGTTCCAGAGTGAGCCAGCCCAGTGGCCAGGGAGAGCACGGCAGCCTCATAGGAGTCACTGGCAACTGGATTTTCCCGGCTCACAGCTGGGAGGCCAGACCCTCGTAGCATCTTCCTCAGGAGCCTGTGCAGGGATATGTAAGCAGGGACCCCCTCCGCAGGAATCTGTAGGAAGGCTGCACCATCAACTCTCAACTTTGCCAGACAGCTCTTTTCCAAGTTCCCATTCTCGTGGTTCAGTATAGCCTGGAATTGAGAGAGCGCCTTGCGGAAGTGGTAGCTTCTCATCTCAGGGGTGGGAACGGGGAAGCAGCCTGCTTTGAGAGTCTGAGGCAGGATGCTAAGGCCAAAGCAGTTGAGGATGATGTTACCAGGGAAGCCAGCCAAGGGGCAGTGGCCAGGGTTCTGGGAGGCCCACCACCAGGCCTGGCCCCCAATCAGCAGCCCCCCACCCTCAGCCACAAACTCCTGCAGCTGCTTAGCCTCCTTGTCACTGTACGCCTTGCAGCAGTAGACACACAAGTCGCTGTTCAGATGGGGCTCCAGGCTGCATTGCAGGCCATGCTCCGATAGGAGAGGACGCAGATCTTTTAGATTTGTGTTCACCCCAACTTTGCCTGTCTGGCCTCTGGCCAGCCAGCGCACCGCATTGAGCAAGAAGGGCCCCATCTTGGGAGCACAGAGCAGGCACTCGTGGGCAGCCAGGACCACCCGGCCCCAGCCATAGTGAGCAGCCGCCAGGAAGCAGTTGAGTGAGGCATCCAGCCCCAGAGGGAAGGCCAGGGCTCCATGTACAAGCAGCTGTGAGGGGACTCCCCCTGTCCTGATGTCCAGCTCTGAGATCCCCTCCAGGAGCTGCTGCTGGTCCTGCCTGACATCCTCCCCATACCTGGAAGAGACAGGAGAAACAATGAGGCTACAGTCAGTTAATGAGCCACTGAATCGAACTCATTGAGTAGAGAAATCTATGTGCAGGTAAGAAGATTGCACGGTTCATGTCAATCTTCACATTCTTACTAATATTAGGATTTTAGCATGCTAATATCATTTATTTTTATCATGTTTAAGGCATATTTTTTCACTGTTTTTACAACTGATGGCATATTATCATTTAATTGGCAATGTTTAGTCTTTCTTTCTTTTCTTTCTTTCTTTTCTTTCTTTCTTTCTTTTTTTATTTGAGATGGAGTTTCGCTCTGTCGCCAGGCTAGAGTGCAGTGGCACAATCTCGGCTCACTGCAACCTCCACCTACCGGGTTCAAGCAATTCTACTGCCTCAGCCTCCCGAGAAGCTGGGACTACAGGTGCGTGCCACCACACCCAGCTAATTTTTGTATTTTTAGTAGAGACGGGGTTTCACCATGCTGGCCAGGATGGTCTGGATCTCTTGACCTTGTGATCCGCCAGCCTCAGCCTCCCAAAGTGCTGGGACTACAGGTGTAAGCCACCATGCCCGGCCTGGTCTTTCTTAGTGATACATAAAATAATGGCATTTCTCACAATCAATTTGTCATAGATTTGAGGAAACGCTATAGAGGTAGTGCCCTTACTTGCATATCTTAAAATCCACATTTTCTAAATGAACACCTCCAGGAATTCCTCCCATTTAGTCAACTATGTGTTGAATATTTTGGCTTCAGTTTCTTGACTTTTAAAATAATTAAACATATAAACAAGTTAGAAAAACTAGTTTATTATGCCCAGAGAAAGTAGTACTGCTTATGAATTTCTCGATCTAACTTTCTGCAAAGGAAGGCTGTAAAAACACCAAATCTGGACTCTCCGTAGGGTAGTTCTGACCTAGGAACACATCACAATTAAATTGTTTAACACTACGCTTGAAGATTTATACAAACACACACTGTTTTTAAAACTTCACTTAGATCTGGTTAGAGTATTCACTTCTTCTTAAGGAATGGTCAAAATGTAATGAATCAAGAAAAGGCTTTGTATTTCAAGAATTTTTTTAAAACAATTTGTATATACTGTAAATGTCAAGCAATAGGAGGTTGGTTAAATAAATTATGGTTAACAATAGATTGCAAACCATATAGTGATTAAAATAATTATTAGGTAACTTGAAAAATGCTTAATGGAAAAAGTTTTAAAATTAGATTCCAGGATACCATGCTCTGAATAAGCCAAATTTTGGGGTAAAAAAAATAAAAAACCATGAAACCAGACATAGAAGCAGAACCTAAAGCATATTTATCAAAATATCTTTGTTTAAAAAAAATGTCTTCAGTGGTCGTCTTGGCTGGTGGGATTTTATGTCATTTTAATTATCTTTATAAAACTTTATTCTCTCGAATTTTAAAATTAACATCTATTTCTCTTATAATTAAAAATTAAATGTTATATTTTTTAAAAAGTATAGTTTATTTATTCCAGTAGTAAAACATTATTGAAAAATGTAACTCTTGTGCAGATTCTCTTTAATTTCTTTTCAGCATGAAAATGAGGAGATGGCATGTCTTAGTTTTGTCATCCCATTTTCAGACTCACATGGCAAATGTCATAGAGTTCAGGTATCAGTTCTGCCTGTGGCTTTTTGTTACCTGTTGGAACTCAAGATATTTTGGGGAGTTAATGACATTGAGCTACAAGACTTAATAATAAAAAATTCCACTCGAAGTGTTCTTAGCATCTTCTCACAGGCACCTGGCAAAGCCTCAGCTAATGGTAGTAAAACTTCAATATGGAAAGCTGCAGTTACTTGCAGATATCCTCTCCACAGCTAATTAAAATGACTGCATATATTCATCCACATGCCCACACACACAAACTACAGTAGCATTGGGAATCTAGGAAGTGACTAGAATGGTTGACAAAAGCTGCAAGAACCACATAGAATTAAAGAAAAAAACCAACAACTTCTTAGCATAAAGGCAGCATAAATAAAGTTAAAGAAGGTGAGGTCACTGAGAGACAAATATTTGTAACAGACTGAACAGATACAAAATTAGAATTCAGAATATATGAGTAATTTCTAAGGATAAACAGAAAAGCAAAAAACAGAAAATATTTTTAAAGTATATTCTCAAACAGTTCATGAAAGATGAGATGGAGTTTCGCCCTGTCGCCAGGCTAGAGTGCAGTGGCACAATCTCAGCTCACTGCAACCTCCACCTACCGGGTTCAAGCAATTCTACTGCCTCAGCCTCCCGAGAAGCTGGGACTACAGGTGCTCCAAGGTGCTTGAGTTTGGAAACATGAGACAAAACCAGAAACAGAGACCCTGGGAGAGTCTGTGGTCTCCATTTTTCCGCTGAGCAAACCACAGGCTTGTGTTCTGCCTATCTCCCACTTCGCACATGTACAGCATTGTAGAATATTTACATGGATAAGGATTCTATGATATAGTAGAGTGACTTCCCCTATTGATAACAAACAATTATGTCAGTCCCTACACAACTCTTATGCTAAAGGTAATGGGGAGGGTTGAATGGTACTCATTTGGGCAGCTTTTTTTTGGCTATGTATACTTTCAGAAAGAATTTACCTCACCTAGATCACATGACTAAAATATAGGAATATTAATACCCACTGTGTCTAATTGGCAGATTGTTTTGAGATTTTAAATGAGATCTATTCATGAAAACATTTTGTTAATCTTAAAGCACCACACCAATATCACCTATTATATTGTACAGCCATGATCAACACAATTTCCAATCTAGAAGTCCCTCTCAACTTTTCCTGGGACTGAGCTTTCAGGACTTAGAGTTCCTTCTCCTTCTCATTCTTTTTCTGCGCATAGTCTCCCGGTAAAGTGAAAACCAGCTGAGAAAAGATTCGGGCTGGACAGGCCTCCGTGGCGATTAAGAGTCACGAATGTGATGATATTATTCGCAAACAGCAGTGTAGTCATGGTTCAGAATTTTGGAAACAGTGCCAGGAGGATCTTGGACATAATTTTCAGGGTGTATAAGCCCTGCACTAAAGTAAAGTTTACCAGTGCCAAGAGTTTGACGTTTTCTTCTTCATGTTTTCTTTGGCTGGAGCCTGGCTTTAGTTGAAGAGTTCTGTCAACAAATGGAATTCTCTATTTGGGACTGGGATTCTTGATTGGTGGTACTTCTGTCTCCTCTTGCTGTGAGTTTCCTCAAACTTAGAGTCCTGTGGGATCTGTGTTTGAACAGAGACTGGAAATGCTTACCTCATCTCCACATTTCTTAGCCATTTGTCACCAGACTGCAGATTGACTGGTGGGATGCCTGTTTCTAGAGAGAAAAGATACTGCTTTTCTCTGACTCCAGCTGAGAAGAGGTTGGTTAAATTACGAATTTGATGACTATCTATGAACCTAAGGAGGAAAAGTTAATTTCTTTTGAGGGTTTGCATAATGTTTTAAAACAAATTTATAGAAATATAGATGATGGAAAAAAGCAATAGGGTAAACCTAAATTATTAAAAATAAATAATACATAGGAAATAAACAGCATAGAAAAGAAACAAAAAAAGAGATTGTTACCAAAAACCATAAGTTTTTTTTTTTGAAAATTCTAAGAAGGTGGATAAATTTCTGGAATTTTCAATGAGCAAAAAAGTGAAAAGATACAAATGAATAAAAAATGAAAAGGTAGAAATTAAAATAGGTCTAGTAGAGATTAAAAATAATAAAAGAATATTATTAAAAAGTATTGGTGGATAAAATAGGCACATATCTGAAGATAAAAGCCGAATTGACCCCCTAAAAAGCAGAAAACTTACAATAACAATCATTAATGGCTTTGAATGGCTATGAAAAAATAATATCTCTGCCCTCTTCACTACTCCCATGTAAAATGATTTTATGGGTAGATTTTACCAACGTTTCAAGAGACACATGATTCCCAAATATTATGTAAGTTTTTTCAGAAAATGAAAAAAAGAAAACATTAACAACTCATTTTATAAAATTTGCATAATTTAGAAAATGCATACACTAATTTTATAGATAAAAGCATTTAAAAATATTATCCAAGTTCAACATTTTAAAAAGCAACACATTTTTACAATTTTCTCAGGAATAGAAAGATAGTTCAACTCCAGAAAATCTAAAACAGAGTCATCTCAATATACATGAAAAAAAGATGAAAATTATTAGAAAGCTAGAAATACACAGGAATTTTATAATCTAATAAACCCTATGTACAAATATTCCACAACAAATTTCATGTTTAATGGATAAATCTGAGGCACTTATTTTCAAGTCAGGAACTAGATATATATGCTTTGTATAAGTGATACCTGTCAGCACAGTGTGCTAACAATTTTAGTCAATACAGTGAAAAAGAAAATAATTGTTATAAATAATACATTGTAATTATTTGCTGATGATATGATCATTTACATTTAAAATGCAAGAGTATTAATGGCAAACTAGTCACACCAATAAGAAAGTTCAGCAAAATTTTCTAACATAAGATCAACATATAAAAGTAAATAAGTTTTCTCTATATCAACAATATTATATTAGAAACCATAATAAAAAGAAGCAACACACTCATAAAATATATAGAAATGAATTTTTTTAATGCATAGGATTTATAAAAAAATTATAAAGCCCTAGTAAAGCACAAGAAAGAAAGTTCAAATAAATGGAGAAATACACTATGTTCATGAATGGGGAGACTTTATCTTGTAAATACATCGGTTTTTCTAAGTTTGGAATATATTTAATGCATTTCCAATAATAATTACAAGAAGAATCATGGGAAAAATTCCATATTGATTTAAAATATATAGAGAGAAATAAAGGTCCTAAAATAGTTAACACAGATTTTAACTTTTGAATTAAGGTGGAGAGAAGAAAGGATGACTAATCCTTCTAGATATTAACAAATACTGCAGAGCAACAATTAGTAAAATACATTCATTTTTGTATAAGAATAAGTAGATATACAGTACAAGATCGACAGTCCAGAAACAGACTGATATCTCTACATGAACTTGGTAAATGATGGTGATGGCATCGTAAATCAGCGGAAAATGTTTTAAGTTTAAAATAAATGTTCTATGGAAAGTAGGCTAATTATATGAGAAATAATCAGTTAAATGCTCCAGATATACCAAGAAGATATAAAATACATAGGACTTTTCAAGAAAAATTGATGGATTTGACTATAAAAATAAATAGTTTGGCTAACACAGGACAGCATAAGTCAAAATAATAGTCCAGGAAGTGATATTTACATCATTAATGACAAAAATTCTAGAGCTATATAAGGAAAATCACTAATTAATTTAAAAATTAGACACAGGATGCAATTAAACTGTTTAACAAGAGGAATTTGAATGGACAAGTCTTTGAAGAGAGTCTTCTCAGCATTGCTTTTAGGTAGAGAGTAACATTTAAATTACCATGCAATCTCTTTCTTCTTCATTTTAACCACGTCTTACCATTAGACTTTCAGGATCAAGCTATCTGTTGCTAAGAAACAAAAGCAAAATTGCCTTTTTCTCAACAGATTTAAGTGAAAATCAGTAGTCAGTTCAGGTGTGACTCTAAGAAGACACATTGGAGAGTATGCTGGGCTTACATGAAGCTAGCCACGTGTGTTGGCTCACACATCTATCTTGCATTGGTTCCACGTTCCTTCTCATGATCCTCTGAGCAGAAATATTTTTCACAGTTATTAGTTACAATTTGCTGGAAATTGCAACCCATTGGAGTTTTTTTCCCTTGTTTTCTTAAATTCACTAATAAACATATGTGACACTTTTTGAACTATTTACCAAACGTGACTTTGAGGCTACATTACCAACTTCAGCCAGGTGGTTTAACACATTTGAGCATCACACTTGGTGCTTAAAAGGTGCTAAGTAAAATATTAAATGAATCCAGCAGGAACAAATGAGAAACCCATTTATAATCATTGCATTGGCAAAAATTAAAATGCTGGAAAGCATAAGTGTTGGTGAGGTTGTAGAGAAACAAGAACTCTTCTCTACTGAGAGTGGAGGGATAAATTAATGTTGTTATTCTGGAGAATAATTTAATAATACTAGTGAAATTACATATATTCATATTCTATGGCTTTGCAGTTTCATTACTGAGTATACACCCCTCAGTTACTCTTCTGGAGATATATTAAAGATAAGTTCTCAGAAGTTTACTTACTGCAGCACAGTTTGAACCAACAAAGAGTTGGAAATAACTCGAATGCCCATTAGTGAGAAATGGATAATCAAAATGTGAAATATGCAAGTAGTGGAGTACCATGCAGTAGTTAGAAGTAATAAACTACATTTAAGTACATCTACATTAATAAATCTCAAAAATATGATGATAAGTAAAACAAGTTAGAAGAAGAAATGTAGCAAAATGCCAAGTATGTTAAAAACACAAGAGTGAGTACCTGCATGTAATGTTATTATAATACTACCAAATATAAGGATATAAAAAGAGCAATCCTGCATCACTGATAATATTCTACTATAAGCTGATTGTTGTAAAGTTAGTTTTTTTGCCTCTAAAATAAAAATAAAATTTGCAGTAACCTTCAAAATTAGTAAATAAAATTAAAAAATAGAACTATTAGGAGCTACAAACGATTTGGGTCAGTGTGAGTCTCATGTATATAATTTCCATTCACATTTAGTGTGCTGCACATTTTCTTACATCAATTCATTCATTCTATGAATTCATTCATTCTATGAATTCATTCTATCAATTCATTTATTGCTTATTGATAACTAATACCATTCATAATTCATAATTGCTTATTGATAACTAATACCATTCTAATGATTGTTCCTTCTCTTATTATCCATTTTTCTCATTTGAGGTCTATGGTATCACGAGTTGATATCAGAAAGTCTTGTTACCATTGTCTATAAATTTCTAAGATTACTTTTACCATCTTTGATGATTTCTGGTAATAAAGGCTGGGCAATATAGGGATGCAGACAATATTTTTGATCTACTTGCAGTCACATAATCAGTTTCCTAAATGAAGTAATACTTCATTTATGGAAACTTGTTGTCAATTTTCCTGTCCATCTGTCTTCTGGTACATTTTCAGTGACTTCAGCATTTATGTTATAATATGCTAACCATGCTTCCCATTCTTTACTATTTCTATTCCTCTGCTTAGCTAGTAGCAAGGAGATCCTTAAGCCCCATGACCAATTGTCACTAATCCTCTAAGATATCTCCTGAACCTTTTAACTATAAACCCTTGTTTATATAGTAAGACTGCCCATTTATTATAATTTCAGCCACTCCATTAGCTTTACTTCTGATCAGACACTTAGCAACTTTTTTGATTACCAGTGCCTGGCCAAAGTTCACGTGGGTTCCTATACATGCTTAATAATTGTCTGCTCAGTTGCTGATGAAATCTCTATATCTCTGCCAATCAACCTTCTGCTTTTCTCAAGCCTAATCCTGCTCACTTTATTCTCAGACAGATGTTTTTTATTTATTATTACTGCTCCTGCTCCTGCTCCTTCTCCCTCTACCACTACCACTACAATAGCTTAGGAAAGCTCCTGGAACATAGTAAACACTCAGTAAATGTTCACTGCTGTTCTTATCAATGCTACTACACTACTGTTAAGTCTCCTAGGACCACCACATGGTGAACATTTATTATGTGTCAAGCCTTGTGCCAAGTATTTTACACGTATCATCTCATATAATTTAATATATTTTTACTGAGAACATTGAAACCATTCAAAAAGTAATCTTTAGCTTTTTTCAAAATTGATTTCCTTATAAAGTAACACCTTTTAATCTCACAAAAGAGGTCTGCTCACCCTGTCCAAGACCAACACCTTGATATGTATTTTCATCCTCTGTCTTTTCTGTCACTTCCAAGGCCCTGTTTTGTTGCCTTCTGACTTCTAGATTCTTCAGTCTCTTCCACTGGCTCCTTTTTTGGCCTTTCAATATGCCTACGTCTAATTTGTCTTGAAAACCCCCAGGTCTGAATGTTTTTCTGTAAAAGATTCTTTCATATTTTTCTCCTGCCTATCATTGTGCTTATCGTTAGGCATGTTATCTATGCCTTCTTCTTGACTGAATTACATGCACTTGGAATCCATTTCTATTCTTTCTGAACTAATCATTGGTAATAATTTCCTAGTTATCAAAGTCTTCTTCTAGCTACTTAATCTCTATAGGTTTTTCTAATGCATTTTGCCCCTTTGATCACTGTATCCTTGAATCTCTTTCTTCTTTGGCTTTTATGATAGGAGAAGTTCATTTCTATTACATGCTCCCCTGCCTCTTTAAGGCCAGACGTTGTGTATCATGAGGCACCATCTGAAGGATCTTGGAAGTAGACCATGCACAGAAGGTTCGGAATGGGGCAGCAGTGGAGTCAGGATTTACATTGTCAGAAAGAGTCAAAAGGACACAAGAAGGCAGAGAAAAGCAGAAGATTTGTTTTCCTGGCATCAATTAATAACAAAGATTTTAAGAGAAATATTATTAATATTAGTCAAAGAGTTGACAAAAACTGATGGATAGCTGAGATACCTGCACTAGTTTTAGGTGAAATATTATGAAGATCTGGGCAGAGTTGGCCAAAGAGTTTTGGCTAGTTCAAAAACTGATGGAGCTGGAGCAAGGAAGGGCAGCAGATGTGCAGGTGGGCAGTTGGGTGGGCTGACAGGGAGGGAGATAGGTTGGTGGACAGAAGAACAGATAGAAAACAGGAAAAAAAGGCCAGGCACGGTGGCTCATGCCTGTAATCCCAGCACTTTGGGATGCTGTGGTGGGTGGATCACATGAAGTCAGGAGTTTGAGACCAGCTTGGCCAACATGGTTAAACCCCGTTTTTACTAAAGATACAAAGATCAGCTGGGCATGGTGTTGTGTGCCTGTAGTCTCAGCTACTCAGGAGGCTGAGGCACGAGAATTGCTTGAATCTGGGAGGCAGACATTGCAGTGAGCCAAGATTGTACCACTGCACACCAGCGTGGGTGACAGAGCAAGACTCTGTCTCAAAACAAAAATAAAAAACAAACAAACAAAAACAGGAAAAAAGATAAAGCGAAAGAGACCTAGCTCCATTTACTTACCTTCTCTTGATGGAAGTTACTCCTTGGTTGTTTTTGCTCAGAGGCCTGGGGGTAGTGAAAGCAGGCTGGGTGACTGTGGGATTAAGTGAGGAGCTGGGTTGAGCTGACCACTGGCAGTGAAATGAGTAGAACCTCATAGGGGTACAGAGCTGATGGGAAAAGCACTTGGGCCATCATCATCCTCCCTGTTTAATAAACATCGGTCACCTATACATTTTTAGAGCTTTTTATTATAGACATTTTCAAACATATACAAACATAGTATACTGAGCTGAGCCCTCATGTATTTATTATCCAATTCAATACCTATCAACATTTTTTCAATTATGTTTAATCTGTGTTTGCTCCACTGCCCTTTGGTGTTTTTATTTTTGCTGCAATGTTTTAAGACAAATCCAAAGTATCCTATTATTTCACCCACAAATAATTTAGTACCCACACTTGTTTTATATTGAAGCACTGTATGTTTTTAAAAGAAGCAGTAGCTGAAAGCCCAGAGGGCTCTGGAAGTGGATAGAGTAGGGACTTTGGTACTAGTGCTTTTGGTTTCCTTTAAGTTTTGTGGCTTTGAGATGCCCAAGGACTAGACCTTATTCCTTAAATTAAAGCAGGGTTTTCATTTCTTAGGCAGTCAGCTTGCTCTTTAAAACTGAAATTTTTATTTTGGGTAAAAAGGACTTTGCCATTTGAATGTCTGTAATAGGTAGCCACAGAACCATTATTATAATCAATGTAAATTCTAACTCTGAGAGATAAATAAGTACTAGAGAAAAATAGACTAACCTACTAGGAGAGATATGAAAAGACATAAAACAGAATTAACAATGTAGTACTACATAGAGTGCCTCAAATTAGCAATACAAAAAATAGGTGTGCTCAATGACAGCAAGCCAACTATATAAATTGGAAATTGGGATATGTAATTCAGGAAAAGATTTGTTTTCTAATGTGCAACTTATTACAATCAGTGATGGATGCACCAAGCTTAATTGTGGTAATTACTTCACTTTATCTGTATATAAAATTGTCACATTGTACAGCTTAAACTTATACATTTTTTTGTCAATTGTAACTCAATAAAAAATTTTTAAATAAAAATAAATCTCTCAAAATAAAAAGTTCATTTCATGCTATGTTTTAATCATCTTTATTAAGAAGGGCAAATTACATAAAACCAGGACCATGTAGAAAAACTGGGACATGTGGTCCACACTGCTGTGAGTTGAATTTGGGACACTTTATGCCTCGGGTGGTCAGAGAAGGGTGGTGTCAAACTTAAAGGTAGGACTTAGTTCAATTTACTTAGCAACCAATGTAAAGACAGGAATGATTTGTGTAAGGTAGTAGCAGAAGCTAAGTTTAGAAAGGGACAAGGAGGTGAAGGGGTGAATATCTTAAACCGTTTTGTGGAATGTTAATGCCAAGCGAATATTCCTAAGTTTTCACTGAAGAAAGTGTTCTGTGGTCCAACACATTTTGAAAACGTTGGCTTAAGAAAACTTCCAATGTCTTGATAATATATTCAGTTTCTTAGTGAATGTGCATGTACATGGAGAAGTGGTGATAGCAGGTAGCATTTCTTTCCTTTTCTTTTTTTTAAATGAAGCTTCTATTAATATTCAGGGAGTCTAGTGTTTCTCAGCACATGGTTTAGGAAACAGCATGTTAAGAAATTGAGAGCTTATCCTAGAGGATGTGCAGAACCACAGAAAGCTTTTCAGTGAGAGATGAAGTGGCATGTTACCAAGATTAATTTGGTGTAGCTTTCAGATGAAATGAAAAGGGAGAAAATGAACACAAGGAGAAGACTATGGTAATAGTTCAAGGGTGAAGTGATGAGGACCTGAATTGGAGCAGTGGGTGCGTGACCGGAAAGAAGAAGAAACATATGGGAGGCAACACAAAGGAAGGATCTTCAGCTTCAATAGATAACTGAATGTGATGGGTGAGGGCGAGGCAGGAGTCAAATGTTATTCTGAGGTGTTGAGTCAAGGAAACACTTGAGACCATTGATGGAAATGGACCCATACACATAGACAGTGCTAGTGAGCTATAAAGGATGCTGAGCTTCATGTGGCTGTGGAGGTGATTATGTACAAGAGCTGCTAATGTAGGTACAAAAGTTGAGGTGAGAGTCAAGGCGGGGCATATCAGCTTGGGAATTTGTATAGCTGCGCTTTGGGTGGTGGAGGGCTGGTATGAAGAGTGTGCAAACCTTATGGGCAGATTGGAGTTACAAAAGAATACAGTGTGTGTAGTCAGAAGACTTGATTTCTAGTTTTATCTCTGTCAGTAATTCTTTGTAGTTGTGGTCAAATTATTTATCTTGCCTGAACCTCCTTCTATATTTAGGAACAATAAAAATGCCTGCCTCAAAGGATTGTTGTCAAGGTTGAATTTCGTAATGTCTGTGGAGTTGCTTTGTAAATTGTAAAGGGCTGTACCAGTTTTAGTTCTACTATGAGGGATAAATCAATAGAGGTGCAAACCTAAAATATAAATGTCAGATCCAGAGTTTAGTCCCAGAGTAAGGAGGCAGTGAGTAAAAAATCACTCTAGTTCATGCCAACAGACATGCCAGAATCCATGGAGCTGAACTACTATGGAGGAGGGAAGGAAGGGTCAAAGTGGCAAGTGGTTTGTAACAAGGACTTCTGAGAGCAATTATTAGGGATCTACTCATTGGGAATCTGAGGCATGAGGCCGTGGGCCACAGGTTGCTCAAAATGAGGTAAGAAATCCAAATCAGTAGGTCTGGGGCGGAAGACAAAGACATAAATTCCTGAGGCTTAGAATGCCAAGAGCAGAACAGAAACAAAAGCAAGCCTCCTGTCAAGGCTAAGCAGGTGAATACACAGCAAGAATTAGCCACAGAATTGGGAGCAGAGCATATTTCAGGAAGTCCTTAATTAATATAAAACACAATTATTTTATAATCAATGCTAGCACTTAGTGTGTGGGTCAGGAATTATTTAATACAAGCTGTTCTTACAGCAACTTACAATGACTAAATCACTTATTCCTCTAACAACCCCGTTATCGTTAGCATTTTTCAGATGAAGAAACTCAAACCCAGAAAAGCAAAGTAATTTGCCCAAGCTTACATAACTAGTAAGCAGCAGAGCCAGGACTTGCAGGCAGTGTCATTGGCCTCAGAGTCCAGCCCCTGTACTGCTATGCTGCAGTTGCCAGCGTTGAGAAGTGGCTAGAAAATGCAGGTCACCCATCCCATCATCCACACTCCCATGGTTTGGGGGTGGTTATTTGTTAACCTCTGTTCTCTCTATCTCTATACTGCTGATACCCTTTTATGCCACTGATCAGTGTATTCGTTATCACTGAGTATTACTCCTAACACAAAGGATGGCTTACTTTTCTTATTCTATTGGAATTAGACTTTTCCTCTATTATGGAGGCAGTATGATAGACAAATGTAGGGTGTACTTCAGGTTCAGAGAAGGTTGGATTTGAGTACTGGTTCTACTCCCTGGTGGCTGTGAACCCTTGGCTTTGTTACTTCAATCCTCTAAGCCCAAGTTCTGTCATCTGTTGCGATAAGCTAGTGTTGTACATGAGGAGTCTATGCACAGGCTTTGGAACTAGACACTTTGAGTCCTGGCTTGGCCATTTATTAGCTATGGGAGTTTGGGCAAATTTGAACTTTTCTGTTTTTCAGTATCCCCATCTATAAAATAGGATAATAGCAATTATACCTCCACCAGAGAGTTGTTGTGAAGATTTAATGGAATATTGGCATAATGCCTGAGACACGGTGAGTGCTCAACCAATCTTCTCTACAATTTATTTTTATAGGGTTATGAATTTATAACACAGCTTATATAGGGCTATAATTCTGTGCAGTGGTGAGTACAATGCAAGGCACAGAGCAGGTCTAAACACCATGTGTTATTATTATCTTCTTCTTCCTCTTCTTTTTTTTTTTTTGAGACACAGTCTCACTATGTCACCCAGGCTGTGCAGTGCAGTAGCATGATCACAGCTCACTGTAGCCTCAATGTCCCAGGCTCAAGCAGTCCTCCTGCCTCAGTCTCCCCAGTAGCTGGGCCCACAGGCATGTCACCGTGCCTGGCTATTTTTTTTTTTTCAAGTTTTGATGAAAGCTTGTATACAAGATTCCTTTATTCCTTTATCCAATTGTTTCTTCCTTGTATTTGCCCCTTTCCCTTCCTACTTGCTAAGATTTGGCTTTCCGTTCAAGAATCTTTTTGCAGTCTTTGTCCAGTTTTAGCCTAGTGCTAACCACCTTGCTGGGGTGAATGCCTATGTGGACAGTTGTGCCATTAGCCTTTTCCTGCTGCACCTGTGCAATGTAGGTGACATATTTCTTCCTGTAAACCTGGACTACTTTGCCAATTTGCTGACCTTTGTAGTGCCTGTGTACAACCTGAACTTCATCATCCTTTCGGATGGTCATGGATTGAACATTGTACTTCTGTCTCAGCTCTTTGCAAAGAGAGGAAGACCTAATATTTCTGAGAATGTGGGAAAGTGCATTGAAATGCCTTTTGTGGTACTTGCTTCGATCAGAAGTCACAAAGGGATTGAACTCCACTTTGGCCACTGCCGCTTTGGTGATGGCCACAAAAGGGAAGAGCTATTTTTTTATTTTTTATTTTTATGTAGAGACAAGGGTCTCCCTATGTTGCCCAGGCTGGTCTTGAACTCCTGGGCTCAAGTGATCCTCCCGCCTTGACCTCCCAGAGTGTTGAGACTACAGGCGTGAGCCACCGTGCCCGGCCTATTATCTTCTTATTTATCTTGACACACAGAGCGACAGCAGTCTGCAGTCTGCATTCTTCCCCCTGATGGCCGATCCTCTGCATCCATCCTCAGGATCAATCTTCAGGGTTATGTCTCTTAAATTAAAAGACTGCTATGTATGCTTGAATCTAAAATTCAATCTTGTTACTGATTCCAAGATACTCAGAGAAAGTTTCCTAATAGAGCTATTGGCTGCAGGGCAGCATCTGCTCATTCCTTTCTGTTTTCTCATCTGAGGAATCTCTCTGCCCTTTGCACTCCATGAGGATTTCCACAGCTGGCCTCATTCCACAGGAAGAGCTTGAGGAGGCACAGTTCTGTTGGACACCTCTCCTTGCTGCTAGCTGGGTGATTCTTTGTAAGCCCCTCTCCTGAATATTACTACATACCCTACTTCATCCTCAAGCTCTGGGCAAGAAAATACACTTCTTTTTTAGTTGACTGTTAAATTTTTATCAAAATTAAAAAATAATTAGGTAAGATTGAAAAGAAGTCATCAGCCCTATCCTGCCATTCCCCACTTCTGACTTCTCAATTTAACTGTTTGAGCTGCATCTCTGCATTTTATTTAAAAACCAGTCAATCTAGCTAATTTTTTTCAGTTTTATACGTGTATTATTTCTCGTCATTTTACTGTGGAAGAGGAGCATTTGGTTTTTTTAGACCTCTTCTCTTCAACGCAAATACATACAAGACAAACACACATGTATTTCCTTTCTCCATATAATAATTATATCATAATTTTGGCATACAGCAATATTCACTATGTACATGATTATAACTATGTTAACATTAATCATAGCTGAGTCATAGATTATTCTGTTATCACCAATTATTATGTTTCCTTTCTTCTTTTTCTTTTTTTTTCTGGAAACAGCGTCTCACTCTGTTGCCCAGGCTGGAGTGCAGTGGTGTGATCTTGGCTCACTGGGTTCAAACGATTCTCCTGCCTCAGCCTCCCGAGTAGCTGGAATTACAGGTGCATGCCACCATGCCCAGCTGATTTTTGTACTTTTAGTAGAGACAGGGTTTCACCATGTTGGTCAGGCTGGTCTTGAACTCCTGACCTCCTGATCCGCCCGCCTCGGCCTCCCAAAATGCTGGGATTACAGGTGTGAGCCACAGCGCCCAGCCACTCCTCTATGTTTTTTTAAGTGTGTACTTTCTGTAATTTTTCTTCTCTTTTTGTGTTACTCATGGGAGGTATTCTCTATCTCTCAACATTTTCATTAAAATTTTCATTTCTACTCTCAAATTTCTTATTTTAAAGAACATTTTATTCTCTGATGTTCCTTTTTCTTGTATGATGTGATGTTCTATTTATTCTTATTTTATAGGTGCAATATCTTTTCTAATTTCTCTGAGGTAATGCATTATGTGTATTTTGCAATATCTTTCTTTCCCCTGAGATTGCTTTTTGTGTGTTTATTTTTCTAACATTAGAGGTTTTTAAAATGACTGGTGCTGCTTAGCTCTTTGTTCACTTTCATAAATGAATCAAGAAACATTATCTAGAAGCACAGCATTCCCAGATGAAGCTTTGATGGGTGGGCTTCAGCATTTGGGTGGGGCCTCAGCTACTTCACTGTGCCATCTCTAAATACCACGACCCGTAAGTCTCTTCTACTGATGTGTCAGTATACTCAGAAAGAGACCTCCTAGTCTTTAGCCTGTCAGGTGTAAGCTGGCTGCCAGCATCCTGGGAAACTCAGAGAGGACGGGGCCTGGAGTGGGGATACAGAAGGAGTCTTAGTCAATGCCCCTGTTTTCATAGGACTCTTGGTCTTGGATACATGTGTCATCCCTGAGTATAGAGTGCTCTAGGTCAACTTTTCCTGGTTCCCGCTAAAGATAGAGTAACGGTAGCTCATTGACTTCAGGGATCTAACGGCTTCTGTGCAGACATTTTAACCAGCCTTTATTCAGCCTTCTAATCTCGACTGTTTTTGAGTTCCTGAGGCTTCCTAATAATCTGTAGTATAAATTTGGGCATTAGGGCTACTGCACTTACAGTTTAGGTTTCTGTTTTCCTTGGTCTGCTAAGTTGGTTACCCATCCATCTGTTTTGCAAAACAGCATTTTGTTGCTGTCATCTCCAGTCTCTTTTTGATTATTGAAGGTTATGTCTTTTGCAGTTTCTTAGTTATCATTTTAGTGAGGCTTGGGAAGAAGCAGGTGTAAACTCATATGATAAAGCTCACGGGTAAATGGAAGTTCTTTGGGAGGTACTTCGGCACCATTCTCTGAGGGGCATGTGTAGGTTTACCAAGCAAAGAAGACAGTTCTTTTCTTCTTTACATACATTTTCCTTCCTGACAGCAGCCAGACTTTTTTTTCCAGGATTTAACTCTTTTTTTTTTTTTTTTTTAGCTGGATGAAACTGTAACCAGGGGTCCTGCTCTCTCCTATTCAGGTCCTTTTCTCTCTTATGCCAAAGAATCAGTTTGATTCTTTCTTCTTGAGATTTGAATCCTCAGAAGAAGTAAAAACAGGTCTGAAAATATTTGGAATTTATCCATCTCCCATCCACAGCATTCTAACCAGATTCCTTCCTCTATTAGGCCATTCCTGGTTTTCTTGCCTTCTAGGTTCCAGAAACTGTCTTGGTTCCTATTGATTTCTAGTTTGGTTCTTCAGGCTTCCAGTCAATTCCATTAACTTCTGATAATGTTTCAATGAATGTCTCTTTTGTTTAAGTTAGCCGTAATTGTGTACAACCAAAGAACCACAATTGATGCAGAAACTCAGTAGTTTATTTGATTTTGAAACAATTTCTTATGTTTTGTAGTTTCAAGGCTGAGAAACAACAACAGAAAAAAAACAAATTTAGGTGTTTTCTTTTTCTGCCAAAGTAATGGATTCCTTCATGATATGATTTCATATTTTCATGAAATAACTTTTGTGAAAGAATTAGAGGACTAGGACCCCAATATTAGTAAACTATTGCTGCAAAAAGCTATTGTGACAAAAACAATATATCAGTGGCAAGTGATAAGCATTTATTTCTTGCTCATGTATCTGTGGGTGACTGAAGTGGCTCTTCTTCAAGCTGCAGATTTGCATTGGCTGGAGCTGTTCTGTTCAATGCATTTAATTATGGGGCCAAGCCAGATGGGCAGAAGCTATTCAGGTTATATCCTTATTAAAATAATGGCAAAAAAGTGATGTAGGGAAAGCCCAACTGCATATGTTAATTTCAAGCCTTTGCTCATGTCTCATCAAATATCGCATTGGCCAAAGCGAGTCACCTAGCCAAACTCACAGTGAGAAGACAGGGAACTCCACCTACCACGAGGCCATGTGATGTATGATGACAGATACCATTTCAGGGAAGTGAAGAATTTGGACAAATACTTCAATCTACCAGTCTTCCCTATTAATCATGATTATCCACATGCTTATATTCCCTCCAACTTCATCTAATCCTAATATCAGGCCAGAAAGTCCAGGATCTTGTGATATAAAGCAAATCTAGATGTGCTTTTCTTTGAGTCAGAGACCTATGAATAATAAAGACAATTTTACTGTTTACACTTAACATACAATTGTGGCGTGAGAGCACAATAACAGAAATAAACACTTTCATTAGAAAGAGAAAGAGTGGTAGGCATATAGCAGTTACTGCTCAATAGTTGTTCCCAAAGCCTGCTGTACAAATATTTCTGGGTCCTTCTATCCTGGGGCAAGGAATGTTTCATGATTAAGTTTTAGTTATTTTCTTTAGGAGTGGCATCTTAATCTATTATTCTTCAAGCTCTTGGTTCTGCACACTGGAAGTCCCTTACTTTTCCATCCTTACCCAGCTTCTTAATTCTGGAAGACTGAAGACTCAGAGGTAATTTTTTTTTTTTTTTTTTTTTTTTTTTTGCGTGTGTGTGTGTGTGTGTGTGTGTGTGTGTGTGAGCAATAAAGCTTTTTATTTCACCTGGGTGCAGGTGGGCTGAGTCCAAAAAGAGAGTCAGTGAAGGGAGATAGGGGTGGGGCCGTTTTATAGGATTTGGGAAGTTAATGAAAATTACAGTCAAAGGGGGTTGTTCTCTGTTGGGCAGGGGCGGGTGTCACAAGGTGCTCAGTGGGGGAGCTTCTGAGCCAGAAGAAGGAAATTCACAGGGTTAATCACTCAGTTAAGGTGGGGCAGGAACAAATCACAATGGTGGAATGTCATCAGTTAAGGATGGGGCAGGGCCTTTTCACTTCTTTTGTGATTCTTCAGTTACTTCAGGCCATCTGGGCGTATACGTCCAAGTCACAGGGGATGCAATGGCTTGGCTTGGGCTCAGAGGCCTGACATTCCTGCCTTCTTATATTAATAAGAAAAATAAAAGAAAATAGTGTTGAAGTGCTGGGGCGGCGAAAATTTTTGGGGGTGGTATGGAGAGAGAATGGGCGATGTTTCTCAGGGCTGCTTCGAGCAGGATTAGGGGCGGCGTGGGAACCTAGAGTGGGAGAGATTAAGCTGGAGGAAGATCTTGTGGTAAGGGGTGATATTGTGGGGTTGTTAGAAGGAACATTTGTCATATAGAATGATTGGTGATGGCCTGGATATGGTTTTGCATGAATTGAAAAACTAAATGGAATAAGAGAAGGAGAAAAACAGGTATAAAAGGTCTAAGAATTGGGAGGACCTAGGACATCTGATTAGAGAGTGCCTAAGGAGATTCAGCATAGTCCTGCCAGCAAAGATTATTTATTTACTTCAAGAGTTTAGAGTGGCAGTTTGGGGATAGCACCAGGAGGTATCAGCTGTGATGGCTTGGAGAAACAGTAAACCGGCAGTGTAAACAAGAGCGGGGCATGTATGAGTATTTGAGAATAGTGAATAGGAGTATGACTAGACAAAAGATAGTAGGGATGACAAGTTTTTTTGGGGCACAGTCTAAGTTGGTCTGGTGTCGAATGAGACTGGGGCCTAATAAAAATGAGTGTCTATACAGGAGCTTAAATGGGCTGTACTTTGTAACATTCTGAGGACAGGCCTGAATTCTGAGAAGAGAAAGTGGTAAAAGTATTGTTCAGTCCTTTTTAAGTTGGTGGCTGAGCTTGGTGAGGTGTGTTTTTAAAAGACCTTTAGGAGGACCATAAAGGATATAAAGGTTTCACTGAATACTAAGAGCCTGAAAAACTGCTTGGCTGATTTGACTAATAAAGGCTGGTCTGTTATCAGACTGTATAGAGGTGGGAAGGCTAAACTGAGGAATTATGTCTGACAGAAGGGAAGAAATGACTGCGATGGCCTTCTCAGACCCTGTAGGAAAGGCCTCTATTTATTCAGTGAAAGAGTCTATTTAGACTAAGAGGTATTTTAGTTTCCTGACTCGGGCATGTTGAGTAAAGCTAATTTGCCAGTCCTGGGTGGGGGCAAATCCTCCAGCTTGATGTGTAGGGAAGGGAGGGGGCCTGAATAATCCCTGAGGAGTAGTAGAATAACAGATGGAACACTGAGAAGTTATTTCCTTGAGGATAGATTTCCACGATGGAAAGGAAATGAGAGGTTCTGAGAGGCCGGCTAGTGGCTTGTACTATAGCATAGCCTACCTTTGCTGGTGTGTGGCGATTAGGCCTGGTGGAACTGCCATCAATAAATCAAGCATGATCAGGGTGAGGAACAGGAAAGAAGGAAATATGGGGAAATAGGGTGAATATCAGGTGGAT
Organism: Homo sapiens; assembly: GCF_000001405.40. NCBI lineage: Eukaryota > Metazoa > Chordata > Mammalia > Primates > Hominidae > Homo > Homo sapiens. The sequence goes on along the minus strand of NW_018654714.1, from coordinate 334,730 downwards.
CAGAGAGATACAGTCATGGGGGTCAGGTGTGGTATCAGGAATAATGTGAGAGGCCAGATTGAAGTCCGGGCCAGGAACAATGGTAATTGTGGGACTTAAAGAGTGAGTACAGCTGAAGGAGCCGGGGAGCAGAAAGTATATGTGTCAAGTATGAGGAAGAAAATAGATTTTGGAAGTTATGAGAAATGTAGAGAGTGAGTTGAGCATAGTTTGTGATTTTTAGGGCCTCTAACATATTAAAGCAGCGGCAGCCGCCGCACGCAGACATGAAGGCTAGGCTAAAACAGTAAGGTCGAGTTGTTTGGACAGAAAGGCTACAGGGTGCGGTCCTGGCTCTTGTGTAAGAATTCTGACCGCACTAACCATGCCTAGGAAGGAAAGGAGTTGTTGTTTTGTAGAAGGTGCTGGGGTTTGAGAGATCAGTCGGACACGATTGGCAGGGAGAGCACGTGTGTTTTTATGAGAATTATGCCGAGATAGGTAACAGATGAGGAAGAAATTTGGGCTTGATTGAAGTAATGGGGGCTGTCCGTGAAGCTTTGTGGCAGTACAGCCTAGGTAATTTGCTGAGCTTGATGGGTGTGAGGGTCAGTCCAAGTGAAAGCGAAGAGAGGCTGGGATGACGGGTGCAAAGGAATAGTAAAGAAAGCATGTTTGAGATCCAGAACAGAATAATGGGTTGTAGAGGCAAGTATTGAGGATAGGAGAGTATATGGGTTTGGCACCACGGGGTGGATAGGCAAAACAATTTGGTTGATAAGGTGCAGATCCTGAACTAACTTGTAAGGCTTATCTGGTTTTAGGACAGGTAAAATGGGGGAATTGTAAGGAGAGTTTATAGGCTTTAAAAGGCCATGCTGCAGCAAGCGAGTGATAACAGGCTTTAATCTTTTTAAAGCGTGTTGCGGGATGGGATCTTTGCGTTGAGTGGGGTAAGGGTGATTAGGTTTTAATGAGATGGTAAGGGGTGCATGATCGGTTGCCAAGGAGGGAGTAGAGGTATCTTATACTTGTGGGTTAAGGTGGGGGTATACAAGAGGAGGACGAAAAGGAGGCTTTGGATTGGGAAGAAGGGCGGCAACGAGATATAGCTGTAGTCTAGGAATAGTCAGGGAAGCAGACAATTTAGTTAAAGTGTCTCAGCCTAATAAGGGAACTGGGCAGGTGGGGATAACTAAAAAGGAGTGCTTAAAAGAGTATTGTCTAAGTTGGCACCAGAGTTGGGGAGTTTTAAGAGGTTTAGAAGCCTGGCCGTCAATACCCACAACAGTTATGGAGGCAAGGGAAACAGGCCCTTGAAAAGAAGGTAATGTGGAGTGGGTAGCCTCAGTATTGATTAAGAAGGGGACGGGCTTACCTTCCACTGTGAGAGTTACCCGAAGCTCGGCGTCCGTGATGGTCTAGGGGGCTTCCGAGGCAATTGGGCAGTGTCAGTCTTCAGCCGCTAAGCCGAGAAGATCTGGGAAGGAGTCAGTCAGAGAGCCTTGGGCCAGAGTTCCAGGGGCTCTGGGAGTGGCTGCCAGGTGAGTTGAACAGTCCGATTTTCAGTGGGGTCCCACACAGACGGGACGCGGCTTAGGAGGAATCCCGGGCTGTGGGCATTCCTTGGCCCAGTGGCCAGATTTCCGGCACTTGTAGCAAGCTCCTGGGGGAGGAGGTTCTGGAGGAACGCCTGGCCGCTGCAGTTCAGGCATTTGGAAGTTCTTGTGTGCTGGAGATGTGGCTGGGGTTTGTCTCACAGTGGAGGCAAGGAATTGCAACTTTTTTCTGTTATTGTACACCTTGAAGGTGAGGTTAATTAAGTCCTGTTGTGGGGTTTGAGGGCCAGAATTTAATTTTTGGAGTTTTATTTGATGTCGGGAGCAGACTGGGTAATAAAATGTATTTTGAGAATAAGACGGCCTTTTGACCTTTTAGGGTCTAGGGCTGTAAAGCGTCTCAGGGTTGCTGCCAACGAGCCATGAACTGGGCTGGATTTTTATATTCGATGAAAAAGAGCCTAAACGCTTCTGATTTGGGATAAAGAAAAAGGAGCATTAACCTTGACTATGCCTTTGGCTCCAGCCACCTTTTTACGAGTAAATTGCTGGGCAGGTGGGGGAGGGCTAGTCACGGAATGAAACTGTAAGCCGGACCAGGTGTGAGGAGGGGAGGTGATAAAAAGATTATAGGGTGGAGGAGCAGAGGCTGAGGAAGAATTGGGACCTAGCTCGGCCTGGAGAGGAGCAGCCTGGGGAGGAAGGGAGAGGTCAGATGGGTCTGTAGAAAAGGAAGATTAGAAAGACTCAGCGACGCTTGGGGTTGGTACTGAGGGGACAGGTGGGAGGGAAAGAAGGAAGATTTGGGACAAGTTGCACTGGGCACAGAGACTAGGAAGGGACTGATGTGTAAAAGAATGCCTGGACGTCAGGCACCTCAGACCATTTGCCTATTTTATGACAAGAATTATTTAGATCTTGCAGGATGGAAAAATTCAAAGTGCCATTTTCTGGCTATTTGGACAAATACTGTCGAGTTTGTATTGGGGTCAAGCGGCATTGCAGAAGAAAATAAGGCATTTAGGTTTTAGGTCAGGTGTGAGTTGAAGAGGTTTTAAGTTTTTGAGAACACAGGCTAAGGGAGAAGAAGGAGGAATGGAGGGTGGAAGGTTGCCCATAGTGAAGGAGGCAAACCCAGAGAAAAGAGAGCGTAGAGACACGGAGGGAAGGGGTTTGGGGGTTCTTACCCTCCCGAAAAGCAGGAAGGGGGGTCGGGGCATGGAAATAAGGGATTGGGGCACAGAGATAAGAGGTTGGGGCACAGAAATAAGGGATTGGGGCGCAGAGATACGAGGTTGGGGCATGGAAATAAGGGATTGGGGGATCTTGCCCCCTAGAAAAGCGGGACTTGCCGCTAAGGGTGAAGGAGAAGGGGTTGAGGGGTACTTGCCCCTCCCCCAGAAAAGCAGAAAAGGGGTAGAGACAAGGAGAGAAGGGGTTGGGGTACTTGCCCCTTCCCCAGAAAAGCGGGACTTGCCGCTAAGGGTGAAGGACCAAGGCAGGCATCCCTTCGTGGTCTGACACCTTTGAAACGTGGGTCAATAATCAGAGAGGCTTCCCTGCAATGATTAAACACCAAGGGAAGGCTGCCTTCCCAGTCTGTGACTGGCGCCGGAGTTTTGGGCCCACTGGTAAAATGTGTCTCCTTTGTCTCTCCCAGAAAATGAAAGGAATTGAAATTAAGAGAAGGGAGAGAATGAAGAGTGGAAAGGAGAAAGTGGTTGAGGGACAGTGAGAGAGGTTGGAGAAAGAGAGTAAGAAGAGGCCGCTTACCTGATTTAAAATTGGTGAGATGTTCCTTGGGCTGGTCGGTCTGAGGACCTGAGGTCGTAGGTGGATCTTTCTCATGGAGCAAAGAACAGGAGGACAGGGGATTGATCTCCCAAGGGAGGTCCCCTGATCCAAGTCACGGCACCAAATTTCATGCGCGTCCATGTGAAGAGACCACCAAACAGGCTTTGTGTGAGCAATAAAGCTGTTTATTTCACCTGGATGCAGGTGGGCTGAGTCCAAAAAGAGAGTCAGCCAGTAATTTTTTAAAATTATTATTATACTTTAAGTTTTAGGGTACATGTGCACAACGTGCAGGTTTGTTACATATGTATACATGTGCAGCCTCAGCTTTTTTAAGACCAGGCTGCTGACACTTTTGCCAATATAATTCTCTCAGAAATATTATGTGTTTTCTATGTATTTGATTCCATTTAACTCCATGTGCCAAAAACACACCACAATTCTGGGTCTTAAAAAAATGAAATAGGCTGGGTGCGGTGGCTCATGCCTGTAATACCAGCACTTTGGGAGGCCAGGGTGGGCAAATCACCTGAGATCAGGAGTTCAAGACCAGCCAGGCAAACATGGTGAAACCCCATCTCTACTAAAAATACAAAAATTAGCTGGGCATGGTGGCACATGCCTGTAGTCCCAACTACTCAGTAGGCTGAGGCAGGAGAATCGCTTGAACCTGGGAGGCAGAGGTTGCAGTGAGCTGAGATTGTGCCACTGCACTCCAGCCTGGGTGATAGAGTGAAACTCCATCTCAAAAAAAAAAAAAAAAAAATAGGCATACCATTACAGCCTTGCTATATTTTTAGAACACATACGAGTCCCAATGAACAGAGGTCTGTTGAGCCACAACGACAGAATTATGGTCCTTTACCTAATTCCCAGAAATGGTTCCATTAGACCCAGATCCCTCCAATGAAGGAGACTAGGTTACTTCAGGGATAAATACTGCTATAATAACCACAAATGAGGTACATGAACCTTCTTCCAAGCCTTCGCCAAAGGGTTCTAGTACTACTTACTTGGTTTAAATAGCTGTGAAAAAATGCCCCAGACTTTCAGGAACTACTGGATGCTGCCTCTGAGGAAATACTATTTCCCGAGGATGACCAATTACCACTGCTTCCCCCTATCAGAGAAAGGGCTCCTGAGACTCAAGAAACAAATTGGATCCTGTCCAGTTTGCCTCAAAATAGGTCAAACAGTTCCCTGAACCCATATGGTTGTCATTCTCCTGGTTCTTGAATGTATATTTGGCAACGATATTCTTAACAATTGATAGAAGTCCGTTTTCTGATAATTCAGAGAAGACATTCTCTTTCTTTTAAATGCCAGCCTCGAAAGTATTTAGAGAATATCTTCATATTTTTCCTCAGACTTTGATGCCTTAGAGTTTCTGATATCACATTCTTTCCTGAATATTCGCCTTGGGTCTTTTCCTCTGGGTGAGCTTGAACTGGTCAACATGCTTGTTGAAATGGTGCCCAGAATAGCATGGATTATTTCAGAGATGATATGAAAAGGGAATATGCTTGGGGATTATTAGTTCCTGGGAAAGAAGCATTACTAATGTAGCTAACATGGAAGTTTGTGTTTAAAGATATATCACGTTACTCATTTTCAACTTATGAACAACTAAAGGTACAGAGATTTTTCACTTCATTTATTAACAAGACAGAGTTTTCCTATCCCATGCTTGTAAAATTGATTTTAAAAAATTTTTTAGGATAAAAAGTGACATATGTTCACTAAATGAAAGTTGAAAATGTGAAAAAATGAAAAAAAAACCATCATCCATAAGAATAGGTGTCATTTTCTCAGCAATGTTTGCTCTTCATGATTTAAAAAAATACAAGCATGATTATAAAATTGAACATACTAATTCTAAAATTATTTTTTTCTGATAGAAGTAATATACAATATTACTAATAGTAGAAAAAAATTAAATATGGGAAAATATAAAGAAGACAGCTTTTCCCACAAATGATATTGAGTATTTCTGCCTGTGTTTATTTGCCATCTGCATATCTTCTTTGGTAGAATGTCTAATAAAATATTTTGAACATCTTAAAAATCAAATTGTTCATTTTATGATTGAGTGTTGTTGTTGTTGTTGTTGTTACATAGCCAAGTAAGATTCGCTAAATCTTCATTTGGCATGGCAAAGGTAACTCTACTGTTTCCATGGAAAATTGCTCTAAAAACCAACAGAGAAAGTCTCAGAAAAGTCCCCTTTCCGTGGGTCCAACAGTGTTCCTCTACCTTGTTTTCTACCCAATCTCAACTTTTCCTTAAAAGAAAATCAAAACGTATCTATAGATATACATGTAAATAGAAATCACTTTCTGAAATACTAATTGAAAATTTAGAACTATACCCTTAGAATTTTGTGAAGACCACAGAGTGAATGAGAATTATATTGCTCTTATCACCTAAAATATAGCCAGTTTTACTTTCTAAAACTTATGGATTGACATACAGAAGGTCAGGTAATAACTCTAGAGCTTTATAATAGAACATTATTAGCATTTATAAAAGATATTTCTTTAATTATATTATCACCTAACAATGACCATACAGTGGACAGGAGAGTAATTTGAAAATGTCCTTATAGTAACTTCTCTGCTCATAAGGAGATATTAATAAATATGAACAGATATTCTACATACCTATGGATCTGGAAAAGCATTTATTCACTAATACATTGTATTTGTGTTCTCTAATTTAGCATCATCTTTTCATCTTGCTTGATTTTCCTGCAGCTAAACATTTGTAGTTCCCCCCTAAAAAAAGCAATGACAATCTTTCTTATAAATTACGTTCTCTGATTTCCTTGTCAACCTGCTTCAAGAAAATCCATGTGTTCAAAACGCTTGCTCACAGTCTGCCCCACAGCAAATGATTGTTTAACCCAAATATCTGTGCAGCAAACTGAGCTGATCCTTCTGGAGAAAGGGTGGTTGAGCAGCTGAGACCACTGGGTAGTCGAGGAGAAGACCACACATCCTGAGCTCCCCAGTCTGCTTGAGCGGAGGACAGCTGATAACTGGATATGCAGTGTTCCCAGACGTCACTGGTCCCAAACCATTTCTTCTGCCTGCCACTGCCACAAACACAGTGGGAATGCCATCCCCTTCACACTCACCTTTAATCCTCAGAGTTTTATCTGGTCCTTTATGCACAGATGTTACTTGAAGTTCTCAGGAAATGCCAAGATTTCCACAGGCCTTCTTGATTTTTTCACAGTGGCCAAGATCAGAAGTAGAGCCTACCAATACTGCCATCCCGCACGGACTTTCTAATTTCAAAAGCAACTCTTCTCTCTCTCTGCAACCCACTCTAAGTTTTTCTATAACCATCTTGAGCCCTTCAGGAGTTACTTCTTTGAGGTCCTGATGAGGCTGTTTGTCTTTCTGTTGGCTTCCATCTACTGATGGCCAGAGTCTCCAGGAATCATTATCAATAACATCAGCAAGAACAATTTCTTTAGGGGTTACATCAACACCAAATTTGATCTTCATATCAACCAGCATACAGTTCTGGGGCAACCAAGATTTCTCCAGTATTTCAAAAAAGAGCCTATGTAGTATATGACATGATATCCACTTCAGTTTGGCCTATGAGAAGTTCACCAAAGCAAAATTTTGGAGCAATTAGCTGTTCCTCAGATGACTCTGGGTCATTACTGGCATCATCCTTGAAAAACATCTCCACTTTAGGTGGGTAAAACTTATATCCTTCCTTGTCATCAGGATTTCTTTTGAAAAAAGAATCAGTTGCTATTCTTCTGCAAACCCATTCAGTTGGAATCATTTCACACTCGGGAGCAGCAAAAGCTGTCTGTTTCCCCACATTTTCTGGTGAAAGCAGTTTTGACACTTGCTTCCTGTAACAACTGAAAAACACAACTGGTAATTTTATTTGAGATTGCAGCTTTTACCTTTTACTTCCGGGTGATTCTTTCTTTTTTTTTTTTTTTTTTTTTTTTTTTTTTTTGAGGCAGGTCTCGCTCGGTCGCCCAGGCTGGAGTGCAGTGGCACGAGTGAAGTAGCACGATCTTGGCTCACTGCAAGCCCCGCCTCCCGGGTTAACGCCATTCTCCTGGCTCAGCCTCCCAAGTAGCTGGAACTACAGGCGCCCGCCACCATGCCCAGCTAATTTTTTGTATTTTTAGTAGAGACGGGGTTTCACTGTGTTAGCCAGGGTGGTCTCTCCTGACCGCATGATCCGCCCGCCTCGGCCTCCCAAAGTGCTGGGATTACAGGCCTGAGCCACCGCACCTGGCCCAGGTGATTCTTTCTAACTGCATTTCCTGCTGTTATCTGGTCCTTGAACTGCAGGAGGATTTTTTCTGGACTATCTAATAATTTATGGACTTTGTTTTACCCTCATTCAGTTTTTTACCAATACTTAGTACCTCAGCTGTTGCCAGTATCCTGAGTGGGCTGAAGGTTGTGACCCCACTGGGAAGAGAGGCAGAAATCTCGGATACCGGTTCTTCATCAGAAATGCCTTTTGCAAATATTTTCTCCTGGTGTACAGCTTGTCTTCTAAGGTTCTGAACAGTGTCTTACAAGAGCAGAAGTTCTTAACTTTGATGAATCACTATCAATTTTATCTTCATGATTGAGATTAGATTTCATATCTAATAAGTCTTTGTTTAATCCAAGGTATCAATTTGTGGTCTTATGATTTCTTCTGAATTTTTATTTTTTCTTACACTTCAGTTTATGATTCATTTTTATTTAATTTTTACATATGGTGTGAAGTATGGGTCAAGATTTAAAAAATTTTGCAAATGGATGTTCAATTTTTTCAGACCATCTGTTAAAAAAATTCTCTTTTCTGCACTGAGTTTTCTTTGTACCTTTATCAAATATTAATTGATAATTTATATGTGAGTCTTTATTTGGACTTTGTTTGGTTACAGTGATTTATGTGTCTGTCCTTTCACCAATATGACATTGTTTTGATTAATGTAGCTTTATACTTTAATCTTGATCTATACATCTTGATTAATGTGTCTTGAAATGAAATAATTAAGTCCTTGGGCTTTGTTCTTTTCAAAATTATATCAGCTCTTGTAATTCCTTTGATTTTTTTCCATATAAATTTTAGAATTAACTTGTCAATTTCTCCAAAAAGAATATTGCTGGGATTTTTTGTAAGATTGCATGGAATCTATGGAAGGTTAATTTATGATTAACGTTAGTAAATTAATATAACAATGTTGAGACTTGCAAATCTTGAATAACGAACATCTTGTATTTGTTTAGGCCTTTGATTTCTTTCACTGGCGTTTTGGAGTTTTCAATATGCAGATTGTACACTTGTATAAACATATTTTGTTAAATTTATACCAAAGTGTTTCTTATTTTTCTTATTATTATAATAGCACTGCTTGAAAATTTTCAGTTTCTACTGGTAGTATATAGAATGTAGACAGAAATGTGATTTTGTGTATTAAATATACATTGGCCTTCTAACTATTGACCTTGCTAAATTTACTAATTAGTTCTAATACCTTTCTTGTAGATTCTTACAATTTTCTAAACATACAATCATGTCATCTGCAAAGAGAAACATTTTTACTTCTTCTAATCTGTAGGTCTTTTTTTTTTTTTTTGAATTTCTTCTCTTATTGCACTTAGAATTTTCAGTGTGTCTAAAAAGAGTGGTAAGAATGGACTTCTCGTCCTTATTCCTGATCTTAGGGGCAAAACATTTGGTCTTTTAGCATTAACTCTGATGTTAGCAGCCCATTTTGTAGATACTCTCCCTCAGTTTGAGGAAGTTCCTTTCTATTATTAATTGATGAGAATTTTTGTTATGGTTGGATTTCAAATTTTGTCCAGTGATTTTCTGCATCTTTTGAGATGAGCAATGTTTTTCTTCTTTTGTCTACTGATGTGGTGAACTAATTTAATTAACTTTTGAATGCTTAACTATCTTTTCACGATGAAATAAACCTCACTTGGTAATGATATATTATCTTTTTTTTACATATTGTTGGATTGTAAGTGCTAGCATTCGATTGAATATTTTCATATCTATGCTGTGAGGGATATTTCGTCTGTAGTTTTCTTATAATGTCTTTGTTTTTAATATCAGGTAATGCTGAGTTTATAAAATGAGCTGGGTGTCATTCCCTCCCCTTTTATCTTATGGAAAAAATTGTGTATAATTATATTACATTTTTCTGAAATGTTAGGAAAAACGTGTTAGTACAGCCAGCTGGACTTGAAGATTTTTCTTTGAGAATTTTAAGCCACAAATTCAATTTCTTTAATGTATAGTAGCTTATTCAAGATACCTATTTCTTCTTCAGTGAGTTTTGCTGCTGTGTCATGTATGACACATGTATGATTTATTTTTATGTTTATAAATGACTAGGAAGGATCTGAAATAATTTTCTAACCTTCATTCCTAAAATTGATAATTTGCGTCTTCTCTCTTTTTATCTTGGCCGATATGGCTAGTCACTATTAATTTATGGACTTTTTTCAAAGGAACAACTCTTTGGTCATTGGTTCTCTCTTTGCTTCTCTTTCATTGTTTTTCCAGTTCATTGTTTTCTTCTGGTATTTTTATTTCCTGGAAATTTTGGGTGGATTCCCGAGAATCAATATTGTAGGCCATTGTTTTTTTTTAAAACACTGTGACCTATAATAACAAATACTTTTTATATCATATTTCATTATGTGCTCAAAAAGCCCATTTACATATAATTAAAACGAACTTTCACAAAACAACACTCAGCCATATTACATGTGAGAAAGTATTTTTTTCAATTCAATTCTATTTTGTTCCAGCCTGGATGAATTCTCTTTTGTTAACAAGAAGCTGATCACAACCTGCTAAACTACCTTCACAGACTACTGATTGTTAGTGACCTGCGGTTTGAAAAGCATTGCCGAACATGATTCTGCTAACAAATCATGTATACAATGCTTGTGAGACCCTCTACTATTTCTTTTTTCCTTTTATTGGTACATAGTGTTTTGCACATTTATGGGGGTACATGTGAGCATTTTTAATGTGCATCGAACATGTAACATCAAGTCAGGGTATTTGGGGTATCCATCATACTGAGTATTTGTCATTTCTGCATGTTGGTAACATTTCAAGTTCTTTCTTCTAGCTACTTTGAAATATACAATATGTTGTTGTTAACTATAGTCACCCTAGTCTGCTATTGAAAATTAGAACTTATTTCCTCTATCTAACTGTAAGTTTGTGCTTCTTCATGAACCTCTTTTCCTTTCTCCCTCCGCCCACTCTCACACCCTCCCAAACTCTGGTGTCATATCTACCCGTCTATTGTCTACCTCCAGGAGATCAAGGTTTTTAGTTCCTACATATGAGTAAGAACATGTGGTATTTGTCTTTCTGTGCCTGGATTATTTCACCTGACATAATGACCTTTATTTCCATCCATGTTGCTGCAGATGACATGATTTCATTCTTTCTTATGAACAAATAGTATTTCATTGTGTATATATACCACATTTTCTTTATCCATTCACCCACTGATGAACACTTAGATTGAGTCCATACCTTTGCGATTGTTAAGTATTCCCTTTTCTATACATCCTTGCCAGCATCTGTTTTTATTTATTTATTTTTTGTCTTTTTAGGAATAACCATTCTCATTAGGATGAGATAATATCTCATCATGGTTTTGATTTGCATTTCTCTGATGATTAGAGATGTTGAGCATTTTTTAATATGCTTGTTGGCTTTTGTGTGTCTTCCTTTGAAAATTGTCTATTCATGTCATTTGCCCACTTTTTAATTGAATTATTTGTTTTTTTTTTATTGTTGAGTTGTTTGTATTCCTTGCATATTCTGGATATTAGTCCCTGGTTGGATGAATAGTTTGCAACTACTTCCTCCCATTCAACAGTTTGCCTCTTCACTTTGTTAATTGTTTCTTTCACTGTGCAAAAACTTTTTTAGTTTACTATAGTGCTATTTGTCTATTTTTGTGTTAGTTTTCTCTGCTTTTGAGGTCTCAGCCATAAAATCTTTGCCTAAACAAATATCCTGGAGTGTTTTCCCTTTGTTTTCTTCTAGTGGTTTTATAGTTTAAGGTCTTACTTTTAAGTTTTTGATCCATTTTGAATTGATTTTTATATAAGGTGGAAGATAAGGGTCCAGTTTCATTCTTCTGCATGTGAATATCCCATTTTTTTCAGCACTATTTATTAAAGAAGGTATCCTTTCCTCAGTGTATGTTCTGGGCAACTTTGTTGAAAGTCTGTTGGCTGTAAATATGTAGAGTTATTTTTGGGTTTTCTATTCTCTTCCATTAGTTTCTGTGTCTATTTCTATGTCAATACCATGCTTTTTGGTTACTATAACCTTGTACTATATTTTGAAGTCAAGTAGTGTGATGCCTTCTGCTTTGTACTTTTTGCTCAGGATTGTTTTGGTTATACTGGCTCTTTTTTTATTCCATATGAATTTTAGAATTTTGTTTTCTATTTCTGTAAAAAATGACATTGGTATTTTAATAAGGATTTTATTGAATCTGGATATTTCATTGGTCATTTTGACAATATTGATTCTTCTGATCCATGAGCATGGGATGTCTATTTGTTTATGTCTTCTTTAATTCATTTTAACAGTGTTTTACAGTTTTTCTTGTAGAGATCTTTTACCTGCTTGGTTAAATTTATTCCTAGGTATTTTTTTTTTGGTAGCAATTGTAAATGGGATTGTCTTCTTGATTTCTCTTTTGGCTGTTTTATTATTGGTTATAGAAATGCTACTGATTTTTATATGTTGATTTTATATTTTTCAACTTTATTGAATTTGCTTATCATTTTTAGGTGGAATCTTTTTTTTCTAAATATAAGATTATTTCATGTGCAAAGAGAGACAATTTGACTCCCTCTTTTCCAATTTGAATGCCTTTTATTTTTTACTCTTGTCTGATTTCTCTGTCTAGGGGAAATAGTATTTTTAGCATTATGTTGAATAGGAGTAGTGAAAGTGAGCATCCTTGTCTTGTTCTAGTTCTTAGAGAAAAGGTTTTCAACTTTTTGCCATTCAGTATGATGTTGGCTGTGGGTTTGTCATATATATGGCCTTTATTATTTTGAGGTATGTTCCCTCTATACCTAGTTTGTTGAGAGTTTTTATAATGAAATGATGTTGAATTTTATCAAATGCCTTTTCTGCATCTATTGAAATGATCATATAGTTTTTGCCCTTCATTCTGTTCATGTGATGTGTCACATTTATTCATTTGCATATGTTAAACCATCCTTGTATCCCTGGGATGAAACCCACTTGCTCATGGGGTACTATCTTTTTGACATGCTGTTAAATTCATTTTACTAGTATTTTGTGGAGAATTTATGTGTCTATGTTCATCAGGGGTATTGGTCTGTAGTTTTCTTTTTGTGTGTGTGTACTTGTCTGGTTTTGGTATCAGGGCAATGCTCACCTCCTAGAGTAAGTTAGGGAGAATTCCACGTTGTTTGATTTTTTGGAATAGTCTGAGGAGGATTGATATTAGTTCTTTATAGAATTTGAAAGTGAGTCCATCTTGTCCTGTGCTTTTCTTTGTTGGGAGTCTTTTTATTGCTGATTTAATGTCACTACTCATTATTGGTTTGTTCAAGTTTTCTATCTTTTCCTGATTCAATCTTGGTAGTTTGTATGTTTCCAGGAATGTATCTATTTTATCTAGGCTTTCCAGTTTATTAGTGTATAGTTACTCATAATAATCTCTGATGATCTTTTATGTTTCTTTGGTATCAGCTGTAATGTCTCCTTTTTTATTTCTAATTTTGTTATTTAGTCCTTCTCTCTTATTTTCTTGGTTAGTCTAGCTACAGGTTTGTCAGTTGTGTTTATCTTTCTGAAGAACTTTTTGTTTTAATGATCCTTGTCTTTTAGTCTCTATTTTATTTAGTTCTCATCCTATCTTTATTGCTTCTTTTCTTCTGCTAATTTTGGGTTTGGTTTGTTCTTCCTTTTCTATAATAATTCTTTGAGGTGCATCATTACATTGTTTAATTGAAAACTTTCTACTTCTTTTGATGCAGATGTTTATTGGTATAAATTTCCCTCTTAGTACTGCTTTAGTTGTATTCCACAGATTTTGGCATCATGTGTTTCCATTTTTATTTGTTTCAATAAATGTTTTTATTTCCATTTTTATTTCTTCAGTCAGGACCATGTTGTTTTATTTTTAGGTATTTGTATAGCTTCCAAAGTTGTTCTTTGTATTAATTTTTGGTTTTATTCCACTGTTGTATGGGAAAATACTTAATATAATGTCAAGTTTTAAGAATTTGTTGAGACTTCTTCTTTTGTGGCTGAAAATATGATCTATCCTGAAAAATGTTCCACATGCTGAGTAGAAAAAAATGCGTATTCTGCAGTTGTTGAATAATATGTTCTGTAGGTGTGTCTGTTCGGTCCATTTGTTCTATAGTCCAGTTAAATTCAATATTTTTTAGTTGATTTTACATCTAGATGACCTGTCTAATGCTTAGAGTGGGGTGTTGAAGTCCCTCACTGTTGTTGTACTGGAATTTATCTCTCTCTTTAGTATTGGGGGAACCAACCCCTGATAATTCATCATAGGTTCTTTTCTATTTTCCCTAAGTGTCGGCTGGTCTGAGAAATAAAGGGAAAGACTACAAAAGAGAGAAATTTTAAAGCTGGGTGTCAGAGGGAGACATCACATGTCGGCAGGTTCCGTGATGCCCCCTGAGCGGTAAAACCAGCAAGTTTTTATTAGCAATTTTCAAAGGGGAGGGAGTGTACAAATAGGGTGTGGGTCACAGAGATCACATGCTTTAAGGGCAACAAAAGATCACAAGGCAGATGAGCAGGGCAAGATCACAAGTTCAGGGCAAAACTAGAATCACTAATGAACTTCCATGTCCTGCTGTGCACCCACTGTCACTGATAAACATCTTAACAGGGTTCAAGAGCAGAGAACTTGTCTAACTAGAATTTGCCAGACTGGAATTTCCTAATCCTAGCAAGCCTGGGGGCGTTGCAGGAGACTAGGGCGTGTTTCATCCCTATCTACATCTGCATAAGGCAGACACCCCCAGAACGGCCATTTTAGAGGCCCCCCTGGAAATGCATTCTTTTCCCAGGGCTGTTAATTATTAATATTCCTTACTAGGGAAAGAATTCAGCGATATTTCTCTTACCCGTTTTTGGTAAGGAGAGAAATATGGCTCTGTCCTGCCCGGCCCACAGGCAGCCAGACTTTAAGGTTATCTCCCTATTTCCCTGAAAATCACTGTTATCCTGTTCTTAAGGTGCCCAGATTGCATATTGTTCAAACACACATGCTCTACAAACAATTTGTGCAGTTAAAGCAATCATCACAGGTCCTGAGGTGACATACATCCCCAGCTTACAAAGATGATGGGATTAAGAGATTAAAGACAAGACAGGCATAGGAAATCACAAGAGTTTTGATTGGGGAAGTGATAAATGTCCATGAAATCTTCACAATTTATGTTCAGAGATTGTAGTAAAGACAGGCTTAAGAAATTATAAAAGTATTAACCTGGGGAACTAATAAATGTCCATGAAGTCTTCACAATTTATGTTCTTCTGCCATGGCTTCAGCCAGTCCCTCCAGTCGGGGTCCCTGACTTCCCACAACACTTTAGATCTAGTAATATTTGCTTTATGAATCTGGGTACTGCAATGCTAGGTGCATGTATATTTAAAATTATTATATCTTCTTGCCGAATCGATCTGTTTATCATTATATAATGACCTTCTTTGCCTTTTCTTACTATTTTTGACTTAAAGTCTCTTTTATCTGATATAAGTAAATCAACTTCTGCTCACATTTGGTTTAGGTTTGCATGGTATATCTTTTTCAATCCTTTTTCTTTCAGTCTGTGTGTGTCTTTACAAGTAAAATGTGTTTCTTGTAGGCAGCACATAGTTGGATCATATATACTTCTTTTAATCAATTAAGCCAGTCTGTATCTTTTAAGTGGAGAATTTAATCAATTTACATTTAAGGTTATTATTGATATGCGAAGTTGTTTTTTTTTTTGACAAGAGTCTCACTCTGTTGCCCAGGCTGGAGTGAAGTAGCATGATATCGGCTCACTGCAACCTTCGCCTCCCAGGTTCAAGTGATTCTCCTGCCTCAGCCACCCAAGTAGCTGGGATTACAGGCACGTGCCACCACGCCTGGCTAATTTTTGTATTTTTTTTTAGTAGAGATAGGGTTTCACCATGTTGGCCAGACTGGTCTCAAACTCCTGACTTCAGGTGATCTGCCCGCCTCAGCCTCCCAAAGTGCTGGGATTACAGGCATGAGCCACCACACCCGGCCAGATGTGAAGTTTTGTTTCTGTCATATTGTTCATTGTTTTCTGGTTGTTTTGTATATTCTTCATTCCTTTCTTTTTCTTTTATTGTTTGTCATTGTGGTTTGGTAGTTTTGTATGGTGGTACTGTGTGAGTTCTTTCTCTTCCTCATTTGTGTGTTTGTTTTACCAGTGAGTTTTATACTTCGTTGTGTTGTTGTGATGGTAAATGCTGTCTTTTTCTTCCAGGTTTAGGACTGCCTTGAGCATTTCTTGGAGGACCAGTTAAGTGGTGATGAATTTTCTCAGCTTTTGCTTCTTTGGGAAAGACTTTTTTATTTCTCCTTCATTTATGAAGGATAATTTGCTGGAAATAGATCCTTTGTTGGCAATATATATATTTTTTTCTTAGCCCTTTGAATATATCATCTCATTCTTTCCTGGCAGAAAGGCTTCTACTGAGAAATTCACTGTTAGTCTGATGGGGGTTCCTTTAAAGGTGACTATATGTTTTTTCTTGCTGTTTTTAGAATTCTTTCTGTGTATTTTACTGTAGACATTTTGACTGTAATGTTTCATGAAAACTTTTTTGCATTGTATCTGTTTGGGGATCTCAGAGCCTGTTGTATCTAGATGCCTTAATCTCTTGCTAGATTTGGGAAGTTGTTATGTATTGTTATGTTGAATAAGTTTTCTAATCCTTTTGTTCTCTCTCTGCCTTCTGAGACCCCAGTAATTCAAAATTTGGCCACTTTATGGTGGTTCATATACTATGAAGAATTTGCCTATTCTTTTTTCTGTATTTTTGTTGGGCTGTGTTATTTCAATAGACTTGCTTTCAAGTTCTGAGATTCTTTCTTCTGCTTGATCTAGTCTATTTTTGTTGAAGCTTTTGAATATATTTTGTATTTCATTAAATGAATTCTTCAGTTTATGAATTTCTGGTTGGCTATTTTTTTATTATCTCTATCTTTGGCAAATTACTCATTCATATCCTGAATTGTTTTTCTGATTTCTTTGTAATTTTTCAGAAATTTCTTGTATTCCACTGAGCTTCTTTAATATTCAAATTTTGAATTCTTTTCCCATGATTTCATTCATTTGTTTTTTATTGTAATCTATCGCTGGAGAGTTATTCTGTTCCTTTGGAGGTGTATATTTCCTTGATTTTTCATGTTTCTTGTGTTCTTACATTGATATTGACATATCTGAAATAATATTAGTTTCTTCCAACTTGTTGAATTTGCTTTTATAAAGGAAAACTTTCTTGAAGATGTATCTATGGTGTTTGTTGGGTAGAATGTTTTGGGTTTGATTCTGGGTGCATGCAGTAGTGTAGCTTTCAACAGCATCAGTGGTATCTGTGATCTCCTTGGTGGCTTAGGGTACAGCTGGAAACTGTGGTGAAGTTCTGCTGGGGACTGGGAAGCCAAGTAGGCCAGTTTTCCAGCACCATTGGTACCAGTGTTGGGCTGAGCATGCCTGTTCTTGGGCACCGGGGGGCAGTGTAAACTGGCACTAGTATTAGTGGGTACAGTCAGGCTAACCCTTGGGCCTTCTGGAAGCTTACTCATATGCTGGTAGTGGCAACTTTGGGCAAGGTGGGTGGCAGGTTCTTGGACCTCTAGGCAACCAGTATGGCATGGGCAAAGGTAGAGTCAGTGGCAGAACAATCCTCTGGGTCTTGAGAAGTATGTGCTGGTGTTGGTGGTGGCTGCAATGGGCTGCATGGGCCAGTCTTTAGGCTTGCAGGCGGCACATGCAGATAAGTGCCAGTTGTGGTATTCTCATTTTGGTGAGTAGGCCCCTGGGAGGAGTGTTTAGGTTCCGATGGTGGTGAACCAAGTTGGGAAATCCCCTGGCCCCTAGACTATGTGCTCTTTTATGGAGAGGGGGTAAATCTGGGTCAGATGAGCTTGTCCTCAGGCCTCCAGTGGCGTGTGGAGGAGCCACCCAAGGTACAAAGGGGTTGGGTGATCCGCAGGCCACTGGTGGAATGCTTGCACTGGGGGAAGAAACAACTGTGCTGTTATCCTGCCACTGGGGAGGGTAGTTCTGCCTTCATTGGCAACAGCATAGGCCAATGGATGGGGAATGTGTGCACCACTTGCACCTCAGTCCCAGCAGCACTGCACCTTAGCCCCAGGTGTGATAGCCCAGGGTCACTCACGCCTAGATCTTGGGGACACAGCCTGCACTTCTCTTGAGCCCCAGCTCCAGCACTGCTGGACTCCAAGACAGCATATAGTTTGTTGGGCCTCTACTATTTCTTGATCCATGACATTGATAAAAATTAAAAACAACTTGGATAGGACACATGGTCTAGACTCACAGCATATTCCAAGAAATCTCTCACCAGGTTCAAACAAAGTCATTAATTTCTTCATTAATTTAACAAATATTGAGCCATTACCTATGTGCCAGGTATCAATTTAGATACTGGGGATATAGCAGTGAACAGCACAGATAAAGTATTTGATCTATGAAGTTTCTATTTTAGTGGGTAAAAACAGTCAATAAAATATACAAATAAATATGTCAAGTGACGATAAGTGCCATGAAGAGAAAGAAAGTAGGATAAAGAGAGACATGGGAATGCCACACTATTTTATTTGGGATGGTTAATGACTATTTCTATGAAAAGGTAATATTTGAGCAAAGAACTGAAGGAGTGAGATATATATGGGGAAACCATATTCCAAACAGAGGGTACAGCAAGTGCAAAGTCACTGAGGAAGTGTCATGCTTGAAATTTGAAAGGATTGCAGCTGGGGAGGGGAATGGTAGAGATGAGTTTAGAGAAGCAGCAGTGTCCAGGCCGCAGATTCTTCTACAAGCCATGGAAATGACAGATTTTACACTGAGAGAGAAGGGAGCTATTGGAAGTGTTCTGCAGCTGAGTTATATGACTTGACTTACACTTTAAAAGAATCATTCTGACTGCTGTGGGGAGAACAGACTATGGGGGGTAATATGGTAGCAGGAAGATCAATTAAGAAACTCTTGCAAAAGTCCAAGCAAAGGATGATGGTGACCTGGATTAGGGAGATAACAATACAGAGGTAGAGAAGATATTAAGTTCTCTACGTACTTAGAAGGAAAAGCTGACCAATTTTCCTGATAAATTGTATGGACTGCAAAAGGACAGAAGCCAACCCCTATTCTCTATCGTTCCATTTTATATGTTTTTATAGCTTTTGTTACCATTTATAATTATATTATGTATTTTTTGCCCACTTATTGATTGTCTTCCTTAACCAGTAAAGTAGTATTCCACGATATCAGAAACTTCACCTATCTCGTTCACAACCAAATTTCAGCACCTAGAAGAGTACCTGGTACACAGCAGGTGCTCAATAAGTATTTGTTTGTATGGATGAGTGAAAAGAAAGGGATTTGGCATCTATGATGAGCCCTTAATATATTTCTACCCTTCCCACTCTAATCCTACTTCTGGGAATCTATTTTGAAGAAATTTCACAAAGGCAAAAACTTATCCCAATAGATACTCATCAAAGCAACCTATTCTTACAGTGGAAAATTAAGCACATTCTAACAGTTCAATAGGAGGAGAATTTGGGACACTTCCCAAAAGGTTCAAAGAAGACATTGCCCACTTTTGGGACAGGATGGTCAATGGTTAGAAACAGTCTGCTCTGCCAGGGCTTAAGCACCCAGAGATCAGCAGACTCATGGGCACTGGGTTATGCCAGCTAGATGGCAGGGTTATGTTAATTCATTTCAAACCATGCATTCTAATTACAAACTCTTAAAATCTCAAGGGTTTAATTTAAAAAGTTTTACAGCAGGCTTTGAACCAGTTCCTGGGGCCTCATTATTGTCAGCTCTCCTCACCACAGGCCTATGTGGCGGGAGTTTAGGGAAAAGAGAGAGAAGACTATGGGGAAAAGAGGGGAAAGAGAAGCGTATATGATTGAAAAGCCCAAAGGAAAGTGGGAGTAGAAGTTTAATTAAAACACAGCTGGGCAGTTTGCATCAGTGAGTTTAACGCTGAGAAGGAAAACAGGCTTAGGAAATGCCATATGAATGTGGGTATGCTTGCCCCCCAAAGAGCTAACATTTACAATAGACATTGCAGTACAGCCATGGCAGGTACTCAGCACCTTTCTGTGTGCAAGCATGAACATATTGAAATGTACAATTTTACTAATTAAAGACCCCCTTTAGTCTACTGACAGAGTATAAAAAATAAATAAAATATAACCCCATTTTTTTTCTCCCCAAAGATAGAATTATTTTTTAACTTGCACTGCAAAATTCTGAATTCTAGCACTCAATCTTAAGTATATTTACTCTCAAAGCAAAGAATTTCTGAACTGAAAGGTACTTAAGGCATTTTGACTCTTCATTTTTCAAATAAGGAAAACAATGCTCAGAGAGTATCTCAACATAGTAAAGAAAGGAAGAAGATGCTGTATCTTTCCTGATCTCTACTTAAGCTCTCTCTTCACTGTTCTGCACTATTTTCTAGTTATTTCTGGGATTATTTATTCAACAAACACTGAGCCTTCTAGTGCAATGCACTGGTTAACCATGGGGAAAAGTGCACACAAAGATGAAACAGGAATAAATTCTATCTTCTGGAGTTGTATACTCTGGATGTAAATGTTCTTATATTCATTCTTTCTCTCTTTTCCTCTGCCTGCTTCTAAAAAGAACTTGAGGTGGTCAAGCTTTAGACCATTATATATTTAAGATGCTGAAAAGATTTCATTCAACAATGCTTTTTGCATCAATAATAATTTTATTCACTATTAGTCAGACATATTTTTTCTTCACTTTAAGTCCTCTCCTTGACTTTCTGTAAGTACCTTAGAAATTTCCAAGTAAGTGTCATTTGCTTTGCCTATTGAAGTCAAATTATGTTATGTGTTTGAATTACAACTTGAAGGGGGCTATGCTTTTAGTAGCTCATTTTTTGTGTTCAAATGCAAAAATTATTGAAATTATTCTATGCTTGTATTCTATGATTGCTTATTCTGAGTTCCATTTGCCTCTTCTTAAGAAATCATTGTTGTCTAGAGAATGAAAAAAGACAGGTCATATTAGTAAATCAATATTTATATTCAAGAAAAAGATCTAAAATATTTTTTAAAAGAACTATTCTCATATAAAAATAAATCATCTCTGATAATATGTTTTCTAAAAGAGTTTGGCTTTTATGTTTATGCAAGACTGACTTCCTGCCAAGCCTTCACTCCAAGATATGTCACAGTGGAGGGTCCCAGTGTTTCCCCTTGTCACTTTATAGGATTAGTTCGGTCCACTGTCATTCGGCTAAAATGCCTTGTATCTCTGGTTAGTGTGAAGTCCATAACTAAGCCCAAGTATTGGTTCTTTAAACTTTATAAAGTGGCTCTTCCATTCACTCTCAGGTTGTACCATTCATCATACCTTCAATGGCTGGGGAAAACGTACTGTCTCTTTATGGTCTTTTTAATGCTCTGCAAAGTGATTTGTTAAAGGAAGGGTTTTGAAAGAAGTATTGTCCTTTTGGCTTAAAGTTTATAGTTTTTCAGCACTTACTATAAAAGGAACACATCCACAACCACATTTTTTTTTCTACAGGTAAAGGAACGGAATGTTTAGTCTGAAAGCTTAGAAGGAAGATGAGGTGCAGCATGAAGACAAAAGCAAAATCGGAAAGCTAAAACAGTAAGAAAGGAGACAAAAATCCGAGATGAATTGTAGCAAAGTGATATATTTATCATTATCCCAGAATATATAAATTTCTTTTTTTACCAGAATATTAAGTCTTTTGAAATGTTCCAAAAACATGAGAATCTAAAACTGATTCTCACTCTTGATTTCAACAACTAATATTTCATGAGTTTCTGCCTCCTCTTGGTGAATTTTTTCAAACTAACAGTTCCACATGGCACTTTTTCATCGCATGCAGGGATCACAACACAGGCACCTTTATCTTCACAATAAATGGATACTGAACTTTGAAAAATAATTTAGACCGTTGTGAGCCAAGTAGGACCCAATACAAACGGGAAAATGTAGGTACTATTTGGGCTTCCAGAAATTTCAAGAATTGGGTGGCATTCTTGGAGAAAAAGGCTCTCAGGTTATCCTGAGGATACCGCAGGTGTGTTTTATCTGGTGTATCACTCAGGGATCTTGTTAGCAATCAACCAAAAGGAAAGCCTCGGTTAACTCTGCAAGGTAGGAATTTATTAGATGTGATTTGGATTGCTCTCATAATTGGTAGAGTATGTGGAGAAACAAACCTGACCACCAGGAACTAGGATCTGGATGTTCAGAAATACAGTCAAAATTACGCCACCAGAATTGGTTATAATGCTATTGCTATGGCCACTGGCCATTGAATGCCACTAACAGAGTTAATTCCATACACTCACACCTTCCTAGTGTCATCTGCAGAAGATTCAATGGCCTCGTGGACTTGAACTGACTACAGTCTAGCTACACGGGTTGAGGGGAAGGAATATATGTATTTGGCATTTTTAGCTAGTGCACTGGCTAAAAATAGGAAGGGCCTATCTTCCATTAAGAATCTGACTGTTTTAGGAGGCCCCCAGACAGAATTAGGATCCAAATGCTTGAGCAGCCAAAAAAGAAAAAGAAAACTAAAAATGCCCCCTTTTCTGGTTAAAATTAAACTAAATCAAGTGAGTTGAGAGCAGATAGGCAGTCTGTATTATTCTAGTCAAATCTGCACTTTTTCATCCATAGAAAGTTTTGAACTATGAATTATTAATAATAAGCCTTTTGTTAATATAGGTACATCCCAGATACCAAAGATATATTCGGAAGTAAGGTGCCATTACTGGGGGAAAATCCCAGATATTTTGCTATTTAAAAACAATCTCGGGCTGGGTGTGGTGATTCATGCCTGTAATCCCAGCACTTTGGGAGGCCAAGGCAGGTTCATTGCTTGAGTTCAGGAGTTTGAGACCAGCCTGGGCAACATGTGAAACCCTGTCTCTACCAAAAACAGGAAAATTAGCCAGGCGTGGTGGCACATGCCTGTGGTCCCAGCTACTCAGGAGGCTGAGGTAGGAGGGTCACTGAAGCCTGGGAAGTCAAGACTGCAGTGATCTGTGGTCACACCACTGCACTCCAGCCTTGGTGACAGAGTAAGACCCTGTCTCAAAACAAAACAAAAACACCAAAATACTCTGAGCTAACCAAATTTCTTTAAAAGAAAAATATGCATTTTTTTACACATAAGTTTCTTAAAAGTCAAGCATAGAACAAACTTCAAATCCAAATGAGTTGATAGAAAATTAGTTTGTCAGGCTGACTTATGGATCACATTCTATCCAAATGGTTTCTCTTGTAAACTATTTTACAATTTTATATAATATTAAATTTAGTTTACTTCCCCCCCTTTCCAACACATAAGTCATAATCTCTCTCCCCATACTGCATTATTTACATCAATGTAAAAATACTCTCTAGTATCTCATCACCTTAAAAAATAAGCTCTTCTCTGGGTCCTTTATCCCTCTAGTTATCCCTTGATTTCTCTGCTTCCTTATCAAGAACAATGATCAAAAGCATTTTGAACATGAGATTTCTCAAGTTCCTCACTTCCCTGATCTCCTCAACCCACCCTAGCTCGCTTTCCAACTCATCTGCCACGTTACCTTGTCAAGGTTACCAGTAGTCCCATGTGGATAGATTTCAAGGTTACTTTTTCATCTTTATTTATATGATTTTTCTATCAGCATTCAATAACATATGAATGTTGACATCTCGATCTCACTCCTTCCCACTCCCTCCCCCCAAAAAAACTTCTCTCCCACAGCTATGTGATGCTATAATAAGCTTGAGCTTTTCTCTTATCTCATGGAGCTAGTCTTCCAAATCTCTCTCTCTCTCTTTTTTTTTTTTTTTTTTTTGCCTCAAAATGTTGGTTTGCAGCATTCTCAATGTTCTTTTTCTGAGATTTCAATTTGGCCTAAAGCTTTGAATACCATCTATTTTCTGATGACTTCTAAATTTATATTTGCAGAACTGACCTCTGCTCTGAAGTCTAGATTCATCTATTAAACTGCCTATCTAATATCTTCTCTTCATTCTGTACCCCAAACCTCTAAAGTCTAGACTCATATCTCAAACTGTCTAGCTATTTTCTCTTCATCCCGTACCCTCATTTTCCATTATCTCAGTTAAAGTTCTGAAAAACACTGATGGCTCAAGCCAAAAGCCTAGGTATCATCCTTGATCTTTGTTTACCTGTCCCTATCACATCCAATTCATCAACTAAGTCTATTAGATCCACCCTCAAATTATAAAGGATCATATTTTCCAAATATTATGACTTTTATTTATTTCTGTCCAGTTTATTTTTCTTGTCTTAATGCACTGATAAGGACCTCTATGAGTATGTTGAAGGTAACACTGAGAGTGAACATTCTTTTGTTTGTGAATTTAATGTGAATGCATCTGACTTTTTACAGCTGAGTATAATGCTTGCCGAAGGTTTCTGGTAGATATACTACTTCTCATAGGAAGTTTATTTCTATTTTACTATGCTGCTAATGTTTAACCATCATCGGGACTTGGATTTTTTCAATTTATTTTTTGGCATGAGCATAAATTTTTTTTTCTTGTAATCTGTGAATTCAGAGAACGAATAGATGTATTAGGAATACATTATCCTTGCATTCCTGAGACTTATCTGTTTCCCCCATCTGCTCCCTCTGGACTTGCAAGACTTCTTGTGGTCATTCTTGTTCTTTGCAGCACTTTGTTCTGGGCGAGTTCTTGGTTTTCTTTTACCATGTGATACCATCTCTCTAGATCTTTTACGGGGAGCCTGCCTTCTGTTTTTTTAAAGCTGTGTTAGAGTTTTAGAAAAGATCTGTCTTTCTAGTAATGGACGGCGAAGTTGAAGAGGCTGGAGCCTGTGCTTTGGGTGCCATCTTGAGGAGAGTCAGGAAAAGACTCGAGTTATATAAAGACACTTGGGGATCTTCCAATTTAGAGGAATGCCCTTGATCCAGAGTGTAGTGACAAAGCAGGACAAGGTGAGGTGATAATTCAGAGAAAAGTGTCTCCAAAATTAATGTTGGCTGAGTTCAAGTGAGGAGAGAGAAGAAACAGGCATGGTAAGAGATGAAGACAAGGACCGTACAATGTCAAGGGCCAAGAAATTTAATTAAAAGCTAATTATTTCCTCTGAAAGTTTTCATCATCGTCCCCCACAAAAATATTGCTAAAAATATTCCCATAAGTTCTGATTCTTGCATGTATAAATGGGGAAAAGGGGACCATTGCAAAGTTTCCTCTTATTCAATCTGATGACCAATATCACCCAAAGTTTTATAGCTGGTTACAAGACAGAAAAAAACTGGGGAGATATTAAAGTCATATTGCAACTTCTTTCTAGAATAATAAAAGGATTTCTTTGATTTCAGTAAATATCATAGGCCTCTGTAGGAGTTTGGTCTGGTTTTCCTTTCTGCTCTAACAAGACAGCACTGAGTTCAATGCCTCACAATTGCTGTATTCTTCCTTCCCCAGCACCTAGAGACGCTCTCTGCACCACGCCATGATTGCTGAAGGGTGCAGGAGGGGTGGCATACTTGATTTAGGACTGTTTTTTTTCTATCTCTTCAGTGCTTGTTTCAGCCATATGAAGTTAAAACCAGGTACTATGAGGGCTCACCGGATTTTTGGTTCGTATGAAGGTATTTTTTCTGTGTAGATAGTTGTTAACCTGGTGTCCTTGTGGTGGCAGGGCAGACTATCAGTGGAGCCTTCTATTCCGCTATCTTGCTTTGCCTCCTCCCCTCTGGAAAACTAATTTTTAAAAAATCAATTCTCGGCCGTGCACAGTGGCTCATGCCTGTAATCCCAACACTTTGGGAGGCCGAGGTGGGTGGATCACAAGGTCAGGAGTTGAAGACCAGCCTGGCCAATATGGTGAAACCTTGTCTATACTAAAAATACAAAAATTAGCTGGGCATGGTGGTGGGTACCTGTAGTCCCAGCTACTCGGGAGGCTGAGGCAGGAGAATCACTTGAACCCAGGAGGTGGAGGTTGCAGTGAGCCAAGATCGTGCCACTGCACTCCAGCCTGGGCGACAGAGCGAGACTCCACCTCAAAAAAAAAAAAAAAAATTCAAGTCTCCACTAATTGATGTATATTCTTAAAAAATTACTTAGAATCAAAATCTCAACAGGGTTTTTCATTATTGTAGTTGTTTACTCACTTGTTTTAGTGGAATGCAACAAGCTGGTTTAAAAATTTAAATGGAAGCACAAACAACCAAGAATAATTGTGTGTTCTTGACAAAAACTAAGGTAGAATAATTAGCAAGATTTATTATGAAGATATTACAATAGTATAGCATTGGCATAGAGATGAAGAAAAAAAATAGAAAAGAATAGAGAGCCTGCAAAGAGATCCACACAGATCCAGACTTTTGGCCCCGTAGATGAGGCAGAAAGAGTGAACCTTTCAATGAACAGTGCTATAATTAGGAATCCATATTTTAAAAAAACTACAGTTGTATTCCTAGTTCACTATGCCCAAAACTCATTTAAACTTAAAAATTTATACAACTCTTTGAAGATAATATAGAAAAATCTCTTTGTGGAATTTGGGTAAACAATTTTTTTTACTCATGGTACAAATAGTATTAATCATAAAAAAGATTAATAACTTTGACTACTTTAAAATTAAGAAGTTGTGTTTATTAAAATACACCACAAGAAGAGTGAAAATTGGCCCAGAGTGGGAAAAGCTGTTGGCCACACATGTAACTGACCAAGTTCATATATCTAAAACATTGTGACATACAGAAAATCCGATAGAAAAATACACAAGAAAATGGAATGAGCACTTCAAAATAAAAGCAAAAATCAAATGTTTAGTTAATATATGCAAAGCTGCTTAACATCATTAGTAATGAGGAAAATGCAAATGAAAACCACAATAATATATTACTATGCACTCATCACTTTGGAAAAAAATGTATCTCATAATATCAAGTGTTCCTAAGGATCTAGAGCAATGGAAACTCATATACTCTAAGTGATATGATTTTGACTTGTCTTTATCTACAGCTTGGTTTTATCTAAGAAGGTTGAAGCTATGCATATTCTACGATACAGCAATTCCTTTCCTAGGGTATGCCAGAGAAACTCTCGCACAGATATACATGTAAAGGATGTTTGTAGTATCAGATAGGCCCCAAATAAAAACAATCAAAAACCAATCAGCAGCAAAATAGATTAACTGATTGTATTATAGTTATATAATTGAGTATTAGGCAGAAAGAAAAATGAAGTAGAGCTACACAAATCAACACAGACGATGTCACAGTATTGCACTAAAGAAGCAAGCCATAAAAGATTACATAAAATATAACTTTCTTGTATTCTTATACAGTTTAAAACAAGTTAAAACTAAACTATGTAGTTTAAGTTTGTGCACATAGGTAGTAAAACTAAAGGAGCAAAAGGAATGATCACAGAAGTCAGATTAGTGTTCCATCTGGTGGTAGGAGAGGGACAATGAACTTGGAGGAACATATGGAGGACTTCAATTATTGGCAACATTCTATTTCTTAATCTGTTGCTGATCTGATTGTTCCCTTTATAATTAT
Source organism: Homo sapiens (assembly GCF_000001405.40). Lineage (NCBI taxonomy): Eukaryota > Metazoa > Chordata > Mammalia > Primates > Hominidae > Homo > Homo sapiens. The sequence continues at coordinate 307,484 of NW_018654714.1, read as the reverse complement.
TATTTAAATTGTACATATGCTTTTAGATACATTTTTTGTGAGCAGGTAATAGAAACTAAACTGAAACAAGTAGAAGCAAAAAAAAAAAAAAAAAAAAAAAGCAGTTTATTGATTAAGGAAACAAAAATGTCTAGATGTTGACCTGGAGCTTTAATCAGTACTATATCTAGATTCTTTAACAATATCCCTAGGGGTATCGCTCTTTGCCTTTGATTTGTCATTTATGTGTGTGTGTATGGTAGGGGTGGGGGTGGGTGGTGATGGTGCTTATTGTCCATCAAGCTCTCTTTGTGTGAAGATAATATTACAAGGCAATTCCAGGCTTAAATGGTTTGTAGAAATCATTATCTCAGAAAGAAAGAAATTATTTCTCCATTAATGCCTTTATCACTCATCTGGACACTGACTGGCTATACTTAGGTCGTTTGAACATTCATAGTCAAGTCTTGAGGTCCAGGGCATGGAATGCTAAGACTGGCCATCTGTAGTCACACCTACTCTGATGATGAGAATGGTGGGGTCCCTTGGTTGTCATCCCCATTTCAATCAGAGAGAAAGTAAAGGCAGCTCTCAGAATAAAGATTCATAGAACAGATGAAAAAGCAAAAAAGGCCACTAAAGGAAAGTGAATTTATATATATATTTTTTCACTTTAAGCATATCTTGGGCTCTTGCAATTAGGAAAAGAATAGCTATGATGCTATGTTCTCTCAGTTAAGGGCACTGGTTCTGGAATTCAATGATCTGTTTCACATTCTTGCTCTACCACTTATTCGTTTTTCATTTTGAAATTTAGTTTTCTTCACGTGTCGCTGAAGATTAATTATGAGTATGTGGCTTAGTAATGCGCATTCATCATGGACTTGCAGTGACACTGATCCTTCAGCACAGAATATCCTGGCACACGTTCCTGACCAAAAAGCAGCCATTTGTGGGGCACAAGCCAATATTTATTGCATATTCTTGCCTTGGTCTATCTTTCTGATACTAACACCAAATTTTCTAGGATAGAAGACTTCTAACTCTCAGGAAGTAGTTTGTTTCTCAAAGAGAAAACATGGGGTGTTCAGTTGGCTGTGTGGCTGCTCCCATCTGTAGAGGTGAAGTGGATGTACGTAGTCTTCTATGCTGACAGAATAATTCAAAAGAATGCTTTGAAGGTAAATATATAAATCAGTACACTCCCCCAACTCAATACCTTCATGAAATGTATCTTCATGAAGTCTGCCTATTACATTAAAGCTTTTTTTTTCTTTGACAGAGTTTCGCTCTTGTTGCCCAGGCTGGAGTGCAATGGTGCGATCCTGGCTCACTGCAGCCTCTGCCTCCTGGGTTGAAGCGATTCTCCTGTCTCAGCCTCCTGAGTAGCTGGGATTACAGGTACCTGCCACCACATCTGGCTAATTTTGAATTTTTAGTAGAGACGGGGTTTCTCCAATTTGGTAAGGCTGATCTCGAACTCCAGACCTCAGGTAATCTGTCTGCCTTGCCCTCCCAAAGTGCTGGGATTACAGGTGTGAGTCACCATGCCCGGCCTACATTAAAGTTTTAATTTCCAGGAAGACACTCCGACTTGAAGCAGAGTGATATAGTTTGGATACGTCCCCACCAAATCTAATGTTAAATTATAATCCCCAATGTTGGAAGTAGGGCCTAATGGTAGGTGTTTGGGTCATGGAGGTGGATTGCTCATGGCTTGGTGCTATCCTCACCATAGTAAGTGAGTTCTCAGAGATCTGGTCATTTATAAATGTGTGTAGCACTTCCCCCTGACTCTCTCTTTCTTGCTTTTGCTCTGCCTTGTGAGATGTCTGTCTGCTCCCACTTTGACTTCTGCCATGAGTAAAACCTTCCTGAGGCCTCATCAGAGGCTGAGGAGATGCTCCCTGTACAGTTTGCAGAACCATAAGCCAATTCAACTTCTTTTCATTGTAAATTACCAGTATCAGGTATTTCCTTCTTCCTTTCTTTTCTTTGTTTTTGTGGGCGGAGTGGGGAGGTGGGACAAGGTGCTGATTTTAAAAGATAAACAGGAGTTTTCCTGTTATAGAAAGAAGGCAAAACCATTTCAGGAAACCCTGTTATAGAAAGAAGGCAAAACCATTTCAGGAAACCCTGTTATAGAAAGAGGGCAAAACCATTTCAGGAAGAAAGAGTAGTATTTGTAAATGCACAGAAATATGAACTGTGGTGAAATGTTCTGAAAACGATCATCAGTTTGGAATTGCGGGAGAAGGGGTGCAAAGATGGGAACCTGGAACTTGAGGCAGGAGGTGAAGGCAGACCCAGATGATGAGAAGGTTGGCAACAGGAATTTACTGAAGGATTCTACCTGAAGGCAACAGGAATTTACTGAAAGGTTTTAAGCTGAAATTTATGGTTAATTTGGCAGTATTCTGGGAGACAGCTCAGTTGGGATTGTGGCTAGAGGTAGGGAAACTAGTGAGGAGGCTTCTGGAACAGTCCAGGTGAGAGGTGCTGAGGACTTGAACTTTGACCGTGGGGATAAGAATGGAGGCTGAGGAGTTAGGGAGGTGTTTGCCTGGTGTGGACTCAAGTCTCAGACTGCAGAGCAATGGACGTCCACACAGAAGGCAGTGAAGAGAGTCTATTTCCAGGGGCTTTGAAATGAGCTTGAATGTCAGACTTCTGGCTGACACTATGACTGTCTCATGCAGACCTTCAGACAGATTACTTACTAATAAGGAAAATGGTATAGTCTGAAAGTAATCTCAGGCTCTTTGGAATTATGAAGACAGGGCAAAAGTCAAGAGATGGTATGTTTTTGTGCCAAAGACATGGAGGTCTAATGCTGAACCTGAGTTTCAGGTCTGCCCTTTCTAATCAATTATAAGGTGAACTTCAAACTGTTTATGTCTTTTAACCTCAAGGTTCTGCATCTGCCAAATGGGGGACCGGATAATACTTCCTCCAATCTATTTCACAGCTAGCAAGAAAATACTTGTAAGCCATACTTCACATTCCTGACCAAGTCTCTTCCCTCATGAAATAAAATCATTAAGAAATTTTTAGTAATATTTTAATTATCATATTTTAATTAAAAATTTAAGTATAGAAAGAAGACTGTATAGCTCTACATTAAAAACACATTAGTACATGACTTGGCTACTTGACACCAAAGTAGCTGGTGTCACATTCACCCTCCCACGATAAAAAACTATACAATCTGGACAAAATATAGAAAAAAAATTCTTGGCAGTTGTATTAGTCTGTTCTCATGCTGCTAATAAAGACATACCCAAGACTAGGGAATTTATAAAAGAAAGAGGTTTAGTGGACTCACAGTTCCACATGGCTGGGGAGAACTCACAATCATGATAGAAGGCAAAGGAAAAGCAAAGGCACATCTTACATGGCAGACAAGAGAGAGGGCATGTGCTGGGGAGCTCCCCTTTGTAAAACCATCAGATCTCATGAGACTTATTCACTATCACAAGAACAGCATGGGAAAGACCCACCCCCATGACTCAATTACCTCTCACCAGGTCCTCAGCATGGTTCAGGTGGGCAAGGCTACACGTGGGAATTATGGGAGCTACAATTCAAGATGGGATCTGGGTAAGGACACAGCCAAACCATATCAGCAGGCATTGAAGAACATTGTTGTACCAAGTCAGGTATGAGATCTTTAAGGAAGGTGAGACACATGAGGTTAGTACCACATTTGCCAGGGTTTTCCAGAAAGGCATCTTCCTGACCTTGGTACAGGAAAATGGGACCCAACCAGAGGTTAGTGGTCTTGGTAACCAAAAGAAGCAAAAAATAGAGTTCAAAGCTAATAAGCTGGTTGGGAATTGGGGGTTAATGTACCATATGGGAGAGAGAAAGAACCCTGGAAATGGGTGTGTAAATGCCATTTTGGTCCTTCCGTGACTCTTTAGCTGTGTGACAGTTGGCTAAGAAGAGGAGAGACCTAGTAGAAAGCAACTGCTGGGAAAGCAGAAGAGATCATCAGGGACTGAAAATTTCCTGGAAACCTACTGGGTTTCAGATCCAGCCAGATGGGGAAATGTTGGTAAACAACTGAGAAACCCAGTTGGGACCCTAAAGATTCTGTCTAAGGAGAGGTACAGTATCCTAGGAGTAAGGCATATGTCCTAAGAGGAAAATAAAATATCATTACCATAGCACAGCTTAAAACTAGGTCTTGAGAGCAGCAAGGTGATCTGCAGGTAATATAACATCTGTCCAGAAAAAAATTCAAAATTTTTGGGCATTTCTATATCATATTATCCAGAAACTCAGCATACTTTTAAAAAGTTACCACATACACAAAAAAGCAAGAAATACAGACTCATAAAAAATAAATCAATTATTAAAAACAAATTCACAGATAATCCAGATATTGGAGTTAATAGATAGGGCATCATAATATCTATGATCAATATAAAGGAAAGAAAGAAAAAATGAAAGACAAAGCAGGTCGTGTCCTATTTCCTTCTGGCAGCTCTAAAATGCTCACTTTATTTATTGGCATAGATTTCGATTTCCTAAATTATGTTTGATGTTTCAAGCAAAAATCATAGCATTGTCTGGTGTTAATCTAAATGGATGTAAGACAATGATACTATAAATTTGAGAGGGTAAAGAGACATAAAATGACACAGGGTTGCTATACTACACTCAAACTGGAATACAGATGACACCAATTGACTGTGATAATGTATGTATAAAGGAATATCTAGAACAACCACTAAGCTATAAAAAGCAACCAGAAAACTATAAAAAAGAAGATACATCATAAACACTATGAATAACAAAATGGAATTCTAAAATAAATGTTCAAATAACCCACAGAAAGTCATGAAAAACAAGCAGAGACACAAGAGTTGATAGAGAAAACAAAAACTGTCAGGCTTATGCACTAAAGTATCAATAATTCATTTAATTATGAATGGTCTACCAAGAGACAGATAATAGAAGAGTGTATGTAAAAGTATGACCCTTTCTTATATGTTTCTTGCATGCTGTGTACAAGAAACTCACTTGAAATTTACCAATACAGGGCAGGCCAAATTAACAGGATGAAAAAAGATATATTACACAAACATTAATGAAAGGAAAGCAAGAGTGCCTGTATGTATATCAGATAAAGCAAAGAAAATTACCAGAAACAGATTATATAATGATCAAAGGTTTAATTCATGAAGAAGACAGCAATTTTAAAAGTGTATTCACCAAAAAATAAAGCTTCAAAATATGTGATGTGAAAACTGCCAGAACTAAGGCGGGCCGGGCTCAGACCAGCGCTGCCTCAGGATGTGAAGTGTAACAAGAGGGCCAGGGGAGGTGGTGGGGGACAACATGGGCCTGTGAGGCCTGTGGGTGCCCGCGTTCCCCAGCTCCCCCCGCAGCCCGCTCCACAGTGGTCCGCTCCGGTTGGTTGTCACGTGCGCATTCGGGTTCCAGACCCAAGGCTGCGTGTTCTCCACCGCTTGTTGTGGCCAGTGTTACTGCGGTGACCGCCAGAGCAGCCTCGACGCTATGGAGGAGCCTGGTGCTACCCCTCAGCCCTACCTGGGGCTGGTCCTGGAGGAGCTACGCAGAGTTGTGGCAGCACTACCTGAGAGTATGAGACCAGATGAGAATCCTTATGGTTTTCCATCGGAACTGGTGGTATGTGCAGCTGTTATTGGATTTTTTGTTGTTCTCCTTTTTTTGTGGAGAAGTTTTAGATCGGTTAGGAGTCGGCTTTACGTGGGAAGAGAGCAAAAACTTGGTGCAACGCTTTCTGGACTAATTGAAGAAAAATGTAAACTACTTGAAAAGTTTAGCCTTATTCAAAAAGAGTATGAAGGCTATGAAGTAGAGTCATCTTTAGAGGATGCCAGCTTTGAGAAGGCGGCAGCAGAAGAAGCACGAAGTTTGGAGGCAACCTGTGAAAAGCTGAACAGGTCCAATTCTGAACTTGAGGATGAAATCCTCTGTCTAGAAAAAGACTTAAAAGAAGAGAAATCTAAACATTCTCAACAAGATGAATTGATGGCGGATATTTCAAAAAGTATACAGTCTCTAGAAGATGAGTCAAAATCCCTCAAATCACAAATAGCTGAAGCCAAAATCATCTGCAAGACATTTAAAATGAGTGAAGAACGACGGGCTATAGCAATAAAAGATGCTTTGAATGAAAATTCTCAACTTCAGACAAGCCATAAACAGCTTTTTCAGCAAGAAGCTGAAGTATGGAAAGGAGAAGTGAGTGAACTTAATAAACAGAAAATAACATTTGAAGACTCCAAAGTACACGCAGAACAAGTTCTGAATGATAAAGAAAATCACATCAAGACCCTGACTGGACACTTGCCAATGATGAAAGATCAGGCTGCTGTGCTTGAAGAAGACACAACGGATGATGATAACCTGGAATTAGAAGTGAACAGTCAATGGGAAAATGGTGCTAACTTAGATGATCCTCTGAAAGGAGCTTTGAAGAAACTGATTCATGCTGCTAAGTTAAATGTTTCTTTAAAAAGCTTAGAAGGAGAAAGAAACCACATTATTATTCAGTTATCTGAAGTGGACAAAACAAAGGAAGAGCTTACAGAGCATATTAAAAATCTTCAGACTCAACAAGAATCTTTGCAATCAGAAAACATATATTTTGAAAGTGAGAATCAGAAGCTTCAACAGAAACTTAAAATAATGACTGAATTCTATCAAGAAGATGAAATGAAACTCTATAGGAAATTAACAGTGGAGGAAAATTACCGAATAGAGGAAGAAGAGAAGCTTTCTAAAGTGGAAGAAAAGCTCAGCCGTGCCACTGAACAGCTGGAGACCTATAGAAAGCTAGCCAAAGATCTTGAAGAAGAATTGGAGAGAACTGTTCATTTTTATCAAAAGCAGGTTATTTCCTACGAGAAAAGAGGACATGATAATTGGTTGGCAGCTCGGACTGCTGAAAGAAACCTCAGTGATTTAAGGAAAGAAAATGCTCACAACAAACAAAAATTAACTGAAACAGAGTTGAAATTTGAACTTTTAGAAAAAGATCCTAATGCACTTGATGTTTCAAATACAGCATTTGGCAGAGAGCATGCCCCGAATGGTCCCGCACCATTGGGTCAGCGTTCATCTGAAACGAGAGCTTTTCTCTCTCCTCAAACTTTGTTGGAGGATCCACTGGGACTCTCACCTGTGCTTCCGGAGGGAGGAGGAAGAGGCCCAAGAGGCCCAGGGAATCCCCTGGACCATCAGATTACCAATGAAAGAGGAGAACCAAGCTGTGACAGGTTAACCGATCCTCACAGGGCTCCTTCTGACACTGGGTCCCTGTCATCTCCGGTGGAACAGGACTGTAAGATGATGTTTCCTCCACCAGGACAATCATATCCTGATTCAGCTCTTCCTCCTCAAAGGGAAGACAGATTTTATTCTAATTCTGAAAGACTGTCTGGATCAGCAGAACCCAGAAGTTTTAAAATGACTTCTTTGGATAAAATGGATGGGTCAATGCCTTCAGA